>NC_000006.12:94115157-94266096 GCF_000001405.40 Homo sapiens
ATACTTTCATTTTACTTCAGCAAATAATTAAGAATGGAATAAGTGGGTCATGTGCTGGTTATGTGTTTGTTTAAGGAAATGCCAAAATTTTTCCAAAGTGATTTAACAATTTGAATTCCCACTGGCATTCTATGAGTCCCGGTTCCTCCACATGTTTGCCAACAATGGTATGACAATCTGTTTAAATGTATCCATTCTAATAGGTGTGTAGTGGCATATTATTATGGTTTTAATTAACATTTTCCTAATGACAAAGTGGTATTCTGCTTATCTGCTATCTGTAGCTCTTCTATGGTAATGTATCTTCAAATATTTTGCTCATTTGTTTCCATTGAGTTTTGTTTTATCATTGAGTTTTGAGGTTTTTAAATATATTCTAGATACAACATTGTATATGTCATGTGTTAATTATTTTCTCCTAGTCTGTTTCTTGTCTTTTTATAATCTTAACATTGTCTTTCAAAAATCAACGTTTTTATGAAATTCAATAAGTGTAATTTTTTAAACTATAGATCGTATTTTGGTGTTGTATGTAAGAAATTTTTGCCTAACTCACGACCCTAAAGATTCTCTTCTAAGTTTCTTCTAGAAGTTTTATATTTTCAGGTGTTACATTTAAGCTTATGATTCATTGTAAGATATTTTTGGCATATAATGTGAAGTATCATTGAAGGCTTTTTTTTTTCTTTGTCTGTTTCACATATGAATATCCATTTTCCCCAAACAATATGTTAAAAACATTATTCTTTCTTCACTGAATTGCTTTAGCATCTTGATCAGAATTCACCTGTCTACATATGTGTGGATCTATTTCTGGACTCTCTTCTGAACCTTTGACCTATTTGTCTATCTCTACACCAAAACCATCTTGTCTTTATTACTGATGCGCTACAATAATTCTTAAAATCAGGTAGCATAAGTACTCTAAATTTGTTTCTTTTTAAACCCACTTTAGCCATTTTATGTGCTTTCCATTTCCATATGAATTTTAGAATCAGCACATCTCATTCTTTAAAAAAAAAAAATAACTAAATTTTTGTTTAGGATTGCATTGAATGTATAAATCAATTTTGGGAGAAATGATATCTTAACAATATTGAGATTTCACTACATAAGCACAGTACATTGTTCCAGTAATTTTGGTTTTCTTTGTAATATATTTAAGCAATATTTTAAAGTTTTAAAGTTTTTAGTGGACAGATATCACATATTTTTTATTATATCTATTCTTAATATTTTACATGTGTGATGCTATTATAAGTGGTGTTTTTAAAATTTCTGTTTCTAAGTGTTCATTGCTAATATTTATTATTATAATTGATTTTTGCATATTGATCTTACAGATTTAATAGGGTATTCCATGTAGGTGATCATATTATCTCTAACGAAATACAATTACACTTCTTTTTCCAATCTGTATGTGTTTTATATCTTACACTTGCCTTGTTGTACTAATTAGAACTTTCAGTAAAATGTTAGAAAGAGGTGGTGAAAGCAGAACTCCTAGTCTCCTAACATAACATATGCTTATGTTAGTGGGGATAGCAGTCTTTCCTCACTAAGTATAATGTTAGCTACTGGCTTTTAGTAGATGACTCTCCTCAGGTTGAGGGAGGTCCCTATGTTCCCAGCTTCCTGAGAGGTTTTATCAAAAAATGGATGTTGGATTTTTCCGATGTTTTTTTCTGTCTCTATTGAAAACGTCATGTGGTGTTTTTTTTAATAGTCTTCTATTATGGTGAATTCTTTTTATTACTCTTCAAACATTAAACCAAATTTTCAGCTCTGGGGTAAACCCCATTGAGTCATAAATGGCAGTCTTTTAATACATTATTGTATTAGATTTGTTAAAATTGGTTTAAAATTTTGCCTCTAAGCTCATGTGTGATATTGAGCTATAGTTTTATTTATTTTTATTTTTTTGGTCATGTTTTTGCCTGGTTTTAGTATCGAGAAAAAGCTAGTCTCATAGAATTAGTTAAAAGTTTTCCTCGTCTTGATTTTCTGTAGAACTTTGTATAGAATGGATTTTTTTTTCTCTTAAATGTTTGACGGAATTCACCTTAGAAGCAATCTGTGCCTGGAGTTTTATTTGTGGGAAGGTTCTTTAACTACAATGCACTCAACATTAAAAATAGGTTTATGACATTAAAAATGGGCGCACTTGCAGTAATTGTTTCTTCTTGACCAAACTTTGGTAGTTTGTATTTTTAAGCATTTGTTCACCTTATCTCGGTTGTCAAATTTATTTGTATATTATTTTATAATATTAAATTATTGTTATATTAATTTTTGAATAAGCTTCAGTAGTGTAATCTCTCCCACTATTGATATTGGTTGTTTTCTCTTTTTATGTTGATAAGTTTTGTTTCAATTTATTAATTTTTTGACTATTACAAATAGCCAGTGTTTGGTTAAATTATCTATTTTTTTTTGTTTTGCAGTTTATTAATTGCTGGTGTAATCTTTATTACCTTCTTTTACTGCCTATTTTGGGTTGAATTTGTTCTTTCAGTTATTTATTAAGGTGTAAGCTAAGAACTTTTTTTAACAGAACTGTTTAATGCAAAAGTCTTCATTCATATGCTATTTTAGCTGCATCTCAAAAATTCTAATATACTGTATTTTCATTTTTATCCCATTCAGAATACTTTCTAAATTACCTTTTAATCCCTTCACTGACTCATGTATTATTTAAAAATGTCTTGTTTAATTTCTAAACATCTGGTGATTTTCTGTATATCTTTTCTTTATTAATTTCTAATTTCATTTTATTGTGGCAAGATAATATACTTTATACAATTACATTATTTTAAATTATTGTAAATTCATTAATGGTCCATAAAACGGCATACCTTTTTATATCCACTTTCAAATTCACTGCAATGTGTCTAAATAATGAGACCCATATGTTTTTATTCCCAGAGATTTTATTTTTTCACTGTGGCCTAATAAATAGTCAAATTCTGTGAAACTTACATATCTGGTTAATGTGCCATTTTCTGACAGATGTTCTCACATTATGATTTTAGATTAATCAGCTTTCTCCTGTAGAATTCTAGTCTCTGCCATGATAGGATAATGAACATATTATTTTCCTCTTCCTCACTTCTAGGAAAAATTGTCAAACTGCATTCACCATCTGAAGCAACATTTTTTTGAGGTACTGGAAAGAAGATAGTGTATGATTGCTATCCACGAGAAAAAAAAAATAACAGAGGTAAGGACCATGTTTGCCCCGTTTTGGAGCATTCTGTGTATTATGATACTGGGACATGGAATAAACATAGAAGTTTGCAGATTAGTGAAGTGGAAGTAACAAAGTTTAGGCTATAGGGATTCTGAAGGAGGTTGTATCTGTGGTCAGGGAACTGGAGATAAAGAAAGTATATAGAGGGGAAGTGTCAGAAATTTGCATAAGTTTTTCTTGAATTTTGGCCAAATACTAAACACAATTGCAGATTAAGTCTCTGCGAGGTCTGAGTGAACAGCCACTGGGGGACTAAGAACTGAGTGGATATTTCATAGGTCACATGGTGCTCTCATTAGCCAGAGTGCAGATACATTTTTAAAAACATCAGGAATTTAGTTGAGAAAACAGAAAGACTATCCCTTAGGACAAGATTATTCTAATCTTAGACTAGATACTAGGATACTAAATGTATCCTAACAAAAGCTAAACAAAAACTGCATGAGGTCCAGCTGAATAATAGTAAATTAAACTACTTTCAAAACAAAATCAACACTCTTCAGAGGAAGTAACACAAGACTCTCATTAACGTAGCAGCATAATGTTCATTATATAATAATAATAAAATTAGACATTAAAATAAATAAAATGTAACCTGTAACCAGAGGAAAAAAATAGTAAACAGCAACAGACTTAGAAGTGACAGAGATCCTATTATTAGCAGATAAGGAGCATGAAACATCTATTACAGACACGTTCAAGAATATAAAAGAAGTCCCAGCATGATGGGTTGTTGAATGAAAACTCAAGTCAGAGACGGAAACTGCAAAAACCAAAGAACCAGATCAAAATCAAAGAATTGGAAAAAATAATATCAATGACAAATGTACTAGACGGGCTTTACTGCAGATTTCACAGCACACAGTACAGAAATAGTGAACTTGAAGACATTAATTAGAAATTATCCAAATGAAAGTGGAGACCGAAAAAAAATGAAAGGAACCCCATCAACCTGTGTGACAGTATCTAGTAACCTAACATGTGTTTATGTGTGTGTTTGTTCTACAAGGGTTAATAAAACCCAAGAAGTCTAAACCCACATCAAGACATACTTAGGCATGTTATAGTCTACCTTCCAAAACCCAAAGACAAGAGAAATCTTGAAAGCAGGCAGATCAGTAAGATATCTTACATACAGAGAAACAACAGTATGACATCTATCAGAATGGAACAAGCCAGAAGACAATGCAGTAACAAGTTCTGATTTTTTTCAGAAGACTAAAACTGTATATTTAAATGTCTTTAGAATTAGAGTTAAAGGCATTTTTCGGATAAACAAAAGCTGAGAGTATTAATCATTAGATACTTAAAATAAAACTTGGGTCTACATGATGAATCAGAGAGCACTGAAATGGTAAACATATGGGTCAACAAAATTCTATTTATTATTTCTTAGAGTTTTAAAAAGGCCATTGACTGATTACATAAAAAATGAAAACAATATATTATTTTGGGGTATATAGAACATGCAAGTAGAATGTATGACCAAACAGTAAAATGGACAGGAGCAGGGTAAGGCAGTGTATACTTTTGTAAAGTTTGTAAAATACACATAAAATAAATGGTATTTATTCCAGGTTGACTGTGATGAGTTCTGGATGCTTACTATAATGCCTAAAGAAATCACTAAACCAATGAACTACTAATAAATTCAGCAACATGGGTAAATATAAAAAAAAAAGGTAAGTGAGAGAAATCAGAAACAAAGGAGCAGGCATTAAATCTTTCCATTTATTTGAAGATACAGGAGAGTCAAAACTGATTTGTGGTTGTAGAAATCAGCAAACTGGCTCTCTTTTGGGGAGACTGAACAAGGGATGGAGGGGATACTGAAAATATTTTGTATTTTGGAATAATGGAAATATTCTATATATTTAGAGAAGTGTAGATCACAGAGGCTACAGTTTCTCGAAATATATTGGACAGTACACTTGAAATTTATACCTTCTGTCATTTGAAAATACTACTTAAATACAAGAATAATGCTGTTTTAATTATGAACAAATTATATTAAGGGTTTTTGTTTTATTGCTCTATTGTTATTTGTTGAAGTTTCAGGTTGGTATGCCTCCTAGAAGACAATACTTTTATAATAATATAGATTTGTCCTGTCACCTTTAAAAGATTTAATATTTATTTTTATTATCTCTGTCATTAGCTTAATCATGCTTACTTTTTGAACATATGCATGTTCCTTTATTTTTTATTAAAAGTGTTTTATATTTTCTTCAAGATATAAATAATACAGCAAATATACAATTGCCCACCACTCAGCTTAAAGTAAAAAAAGAAGTTATCAATAAAGCCAAAGCTATTTATAGATTATATGTGAAGAAACTTTATTTTCCCATTCTGCCATGTATACTTTTAACTTTCTTTTTATTATCTGCTAATGTCCTATTTATCAATAATTCCTTTATAAATCATACTTTTCAAGTCTTGCTTAAGATCTACTTCCCTACTTTGGTCATAAACATATATACATTTTTAAAAAAATTATGCATAGTTATCCAAATCTCTTATAATTAATTTTTGGTTTTATTAACTATATGAATCTGATTATTTTTTCCTCATGGAAAACTGACTCAATTTTATTCATTAATCAATGCTAGATCTTTCATACTTAATATTTCTACCTATGCATGTTATCTGTTTCACAGATTTTATTTTTACAATTATTTGCTTAATATCTTTAAAATTACTTGGTTAATACCATTATAGCTACAGCAGTATCTATTTGACTATTCTTTCTTGGCATATCCCCTTTTTTTCATTTTTAACATTTCTATATCCTTACATTGGAGTTCCTCTCCTAAATGGCAATAGCGAGATTTTGAGCTACGTTTTTAGTATTTTGCTTGATGTCCGGTATGACATCATCTTTTAACCAGCAAGTTACATAATTTAGTTCAAATGGCATTACTTACACAGTTGAAATTATTTCTCATGTCTCTTCAGAAAGCTCTTTACTCATGGTAGATTCACTCTTTATTAGCCTACAATACTTTCTAACACATTATTTAAAAGTTTATTTTTTAACATTTTTATAGAATTTATTACAGAAAAAGTAAAAGTATTTTTAAACTTCTCACTACAAAATTCTCAAATGTATACAAATGTATAGTGAAAAATTTATTTAATCCTCATCTACCCGTCATCAAACATCAGTTACTAACAATTTGTTAATCCTTCCTGCCCTCACCACCAGTAATTTTTATCTGCTTTTTGTATATTTTGCTGGAAGTTTATTTAAAAATCCAAGAAATTATACAATTTTGTCCATAAATAGTCTATTATACAACTCTACTGAAAGACTTTTCATTTTTTCGTAACCATATTGTCATTTTAATACTTAACAAAAATTTGCAATACTTAATGACACTGTGATCTCAAGATACTTTTTACAATTGCTTTGTTTGAGTGAAGGGGCAAACAAAGTCCATATATTGGATTTGATCCTCATATTACTTTTTTATCTTTCTCTTCCTTTTTATAATGTTGATTTGTCAGAGGAATCAAGTCATATTTCCTATAGAAAGTCCCTTGACTTGACTGCCTCCTGTGGAACCCTCTCACTTTAGTATCTAAACTTTTTCATTTTGTGTTTATTTTCTACTCAATCTTAATTCTACTGCCAGGATTTTTTTTAATGGAGGCTTTCTGTCAATTTGTTAGGAAGATGTTTGAGGTAATTAAAGCTGTTAGAGCAGCATTGTCCAATAGGAATATCTGAGTCATATTAACAGTCTTAAATTTTCTACTAACCATATTACAAAAACTAAAAAAAAGTGAAATTAATTTTAACAATATATTTCATGTCATCCCCCATATCATAAGTAATGTCATTTTAGTTTGTAATCAAATTAAAAACTGTTGGGATATATTCCATTATTTATGAGGTGTTCCAGAGAAATAAGCCTCTTTTTTTTTCCCAGCCCTACAATCCATAGCTCTTTCCTGCAGTTAGTCTGTTTCCTCACTATTTCCTTTTTGTTCCATTGGGTTTTCCAATACCCATGTAACCAGTTATCTGTATTAAAGTGCTTTTGTGTAAAATACGTAAAGTAGTTTCTGGTTTCCTTAATGGACCTTGACTGGTATTCTTCTATCTGTCTTTGGAGGCTGATTTGTAGAATTTGTAGAATATGTAGAATTGCCAGGTAAAATACAGGATGCAATAACTGGTATATTCTTATACAAGAAAAATATCCATTGTTTATTTGAAATTGAAATTGAACTGGGTGCTGTACATTTTTATTTGCTACATTTGGCAACCCTATAATTATCTTCGCGGTCACCTGATGTTTTGATTATGGCAGAGAGATGGATTTGCTGTTGAGAAGAAGGCACTATTGCATGTCTTCTGTGTGACTATGCTCACCTATTTTATCAGGTAAGTAGCCACCTGCGGCACTGTCCTTCCTATCCAGTTCTAGTCCCAGCACTTACTGCCTTAGTCTGGCAGCAAGTGCAGATGCTGCTGCAAAACAGCACACTTAGTGTTTGGAGAATGCCCTGTTGGAATTTATCCAATGAAATCATTAATGATAAATGACAGTTTTAAAATAATCCATTTAAGTTTCTCCTGACTAATTTTTTCTTTGAAGATTTATGGTTTTCTCTTCTATTGACTTGAGCTGAATTTGTACATCTGTTTATTGGATATTTCATATGTGACTACATTAAGACCAGCATGGCACATGTATACATATGTAACTAACCTGCACAATGTGCACATGTACCCTAAAACTTAAAGTATAATAAAAAAAAAAAAAACATTAAAAAAAAAAAAAAAGACATTTCATGTACTAATCTCTAAATAAATTAGGCCAGATATGCATGTTTTCTTATCCCAGAACACTGTAGAAGAAAAGTACTTATTTTTTACATTTTTTAATATGAGAAACAAATGAAAGTAAACATGCAGCTTGTGATTAATCATGAGACCGTCAATGTAATCAGTTATGCAAGAAATTATTGAACTTCATGTGCAAGACCTAGTATATACAATGGCACATCTACTCAGAATCAGGAACCAGATTTATTAGACAATTAGGTATTTCCTATCAGTTCCCATTTTCTTGTCTCTCTTATAATTTCAAATTTCAACAGATATTATATATAGTATGCAAAACTTATTAAAATCTTTTTCTTATTCAAGAAACTAAACTTACTTGGAGAAAATTTAAACCAAATACCTGGTTTTGCTAAAACAAGCTTATACTTTATTATATTTTTCTCTCTTTAAATTTGTTTTTCACATGTCACAAGATATGACAATAGTCAGGATAATTTGACAATAAAAGTTGAAGACATAGTTACCGTTGATTACAATACAGGGAACAAAAGACAGAAAATACCTTTGTAAATGTGAGATCAAATTCTGTAATAATAGTTGTACATGAATAAATGAAAACACTTTAACTCAAGAGTCTGGTGTTTGTTAACTTAATTCTTCAAACTGTAGCTTAAAAAATCCAGATAAATAATTTACCCACTGTCTTTACTACTGAAAAGTACATGTAAGTAATGATCGTAAAAAAAGAATGCTAAATAATGAGTATTAATTATACTTTTGTTGGGTTTCAGCACCAAATCTATTACAGATAGAGCATACTGTATTTTATTTCCAGTGATGTCTAGCAAATAAATTTATTATTTTTCTTGTTTACAGGATTATGCATGACTAAGACCATTGTATAAAATAAAGAAATAACCAAGGATGATAAATAACTTAGATATCTTTAGAGTTTGGGTCCCCAGGAAGCAGAATCTGTAGTGGAGACTCGCTTGCAGGGTCAAAACCTAAGGAAGCGAAAGGAAGAGGGAAAAGAAAGAATAAATTGGCAAGGGGAAAAGTTGGGTTGCATTTCAGTCTCAACAAAAGCATCTGATCCCACATGAACCACTGAGTCTGGGACAACTCTTTAGAAGCATTTACTCTGTGGTGATGGGTCTGGGCCTATATACTCTTGCATCCACCAGTCATTGGATATATTTGAAAGGACAAAATGAGTGACATGATTTCCTTCAGCTAAGAGCAATTTCCAAAGATGGCTAACAACTGGCAGCATTTCCCACAGCAGGGGAAATACATTTTTCAGTCTTGATGGGAGCTCTGAGCTGAAAATCACAGCATCCACTACAATATTGTAAAGGCCTTATTTGAAAAACCAACAAACATTGTGGTTACCACTTGAAAAGAGGAGGATGATCAAATGAAGTGAGTGACAGAAATAGGAAATTTGAAATTACAGCATCTAGCTTAAGGAAGGAGATAGAGAAAAACACGAGAAAAATGTTATGCTTCTGAAAAACCTAATGTATTCTGTTGCATTCTGGTTGAGATTGTCTAGAGTCAGAAAGCATGACTAAAGTTGTATAACCATATTCATGAAGTAAGTTATTGAAATTATTAATTAGTACATTTAGTAAAAGTTAAGAAACTTTAAGTAAAATTATTTTGCCGCTGTGATCTGTAGCTTCTGGATTATAAGCCAGCGAGAATGCTGAAGATATATAGGAATAAGAATATTCATACATGAAGTCATTGATAGAATCTATTAGGTTTAGACATTTCTCTGTGTATCTAGTCTTTCTGAACATATTGAAGATGATTATACAGGGGTTTTATCTTTGAAAAATTCAAACACACACCTAAACTTAAGGTTTGTGTCCACGGTAGCCCTCTATGTGGGCATTGCTATTTTCTTTGCAAACACAAAAAATATATAAAGCATCATATTTAACTACATTATACTGTAGACCTATTTACGATTGTCCTTGTTTGGGGAAGAAAACACAAATCATGTGGCCTAAAATTAGCATACATTTTCCTGAATCTCAATAGCGAACTATCATGCTATTTTATATGTCAACCCTTCTTACAATAATAACTTTTTGAAAAACCAAATGCTCAATTGCTGAATTGGGTACAAGCAATGATGAAGCTAATAGATTTAAAATGAAATTATAGTCATATACAACTGCCCGTTAAATTAACATAATATCCATTTAGAAACATCTTATAGCTTACCTCTCGCAATCATCTCATTTATCATAACTACAAGTTAATTGAAGAACCAGTACTAGAATGTAGGTTTCCTGACATATATAAGCAATGTGGAATAAAGGTTTAATAAACATTTTAAAAGATGTATTTCTCAGACATATGCTATAATGTCATTTCCATTAAGCAATATGGAATATACTAATGTAGAGCAATTTTCTTATCTTATACATGAATCATATCATCTACAATTTTAACAGATAGGTAATTTATTATTGATCAGGATAAAATACAAATTTATTTGCATATTTTGAAACATATACATTTAGAAACGTTTTATAAAATAATGTATTTTACTACCAAATGTATATTCTCTATAATTAATATATGTTCCCAATCAGTTAATTTGCCTGAACTACTAATGCACCAACATTACAAACACAGTACTTTTCCAAGTTCTGTTTTTAAGCTATTCTTTAGAAACAATTTGAAGATCAGTCAGGAGTGGAAACAATTGATGGATGCTAAATACTGTCTTTGGAAAGAGAGATATATACTATAGCAACCACATAGAGATACGAGCTAAATAAAAAGGAAGTTCTCACAGTTTTATGCTGGGCTATCATCCAACAAGATGGGAATTGTGATATCCCTTTTGTTGATATTCCTCCTTAGTTTCTGAGCACATTTGTTTTGTTCTTTCATGATAATGGTTATGGATAGCATTAGGACAACAGAACCTACTATGTTAACTCCTTCCAATTTGCACATTTAAAGTATTTGTGACATTGCAATTGGTTTCCAGAAAAATCAAAAGAAAGAATTTAAAGATATATATGAAATCTCCAAATTTTTTTTTTTTGCTTTTGGAACATATACAAATAAATATCTCATTTTTTACAAACTAGCACACAATATAATAAATCTACCAAACTGTTTGTTTCTTAACTGTCTTAATAAAACACTACATAAATGCAGTGCTTTCTGACAAAGACCAAATACATGTATAGATAATAAAAAGACAGAATAAGGAAAAAAAAACAGAATAAGGGCCGTCATTCTTTCATGAATAAATTTTAAAATGTCTTTATTTTTATATTATTTATAGTATGCAAATAATGTGAATATATTTATCTAGGTTTGAATACAATATATTTACTTTTCTTAAAGAGCATCAATGTAAAAGGGAATAAGCATTAAATGCAAGTTACTAGATGTACAGTGTGATCCTTACTTTTGGTTTTAAAGGAAATACTGAACTTCTAAATTATGGAATAAATTTTGTCCATTATCCTTTAATACTGAAGAATAAGTTAATGTATCTTTCCTGGGTTTATTTACAGAAGCTCTCTAATGTCTATTTATAAATTTACTTTCCTAAGACTTAAGCTTGCCAGTTTGGTTTCTCTCACTTTTTAGCTCTTGTGCAAGGTTATTTAGTAAGTACATTTTCCCCTTTCCATTAGTACCTGATTCCAAACACTAGAGTATTTTTAGTTGTTGTGTGAGACTGAGACAAAATTAATTTCTCTGTAATTTTAGGTTCTGAGTTTGTAAATAAGCTCTTATTTTCAAAGACCTATAGGGGTCCATCCTATGAAAATAAAGAAGTAAAAATTTAAATACATAAATGTATAAATAAGAACAGAGAGAAGAAGCCCTGATTGAGCTATGTTTAAGGAAGCACCACAGCAGAGCTCTGAGTTAGACACATAGGATCTACTGACTACCACTTACAGTCCTGGAAAACTGGGGCAGCACACTTAATTGATTAGTTCTTTAATTTCCTTGTATATACAATTTATTGTTGAAAGGAGGTGCTATAAAATAATGAACAATTCTAATTAAAATACCTAGCACTGTGTTTGACAAATGTAGGCTCTTGAAAATATTTGTTACTATTATTGTTTTGTTATTGCTACCATTTTGACAGCTTTGTTAAAATATTTCTGACAGTTGCCAGACTTTATTTGACTTATCTTACACAAAAGTAAATAATCAGAAAAATCTTTTGAAGGCATATCTTGAAAGAAGATGCAATAAACTAATGCAGTCTATTTTTGACAAAATATATTTTGTACTTGAAAAAAAGAGAAAATGAAGGTATTCCAATTACTGAGTTCATTGTTCCTCTGATACTTCAAAAAATGCTTTATAAAGTATTAGCTGGTAATTTTTTAAAATAAAACTTCTAATCTTTAGTCCTTTTCAATCCCCATTATAGATTGTTAAGAAGATTGCCTGAAGCCAAGAGACTTAAAAATCTATATTAAATCTAGAAATATTAAATATATAATATCTATATTAATGCAAAAATTCCTACAGCAAAAAGCAAAGTGATTATAAAAATTAGCTGGAAACATTATTTAGACAGTTTTCCTAGGTTATCAGTGGGCACAAACATATGCTGATTTTCCAAGAATGTTTCTAGATATGAGTCTGTCATCCTCTTTTAGTAACCTGCTTGGAGGGAAGTTCAGAAAGCACAACTGAAAGGCTAGAATGTAGTCACAACTCAGAAAAAAACCCCTGGCTCTTGTGCTTCCTGTTTGATTCTGTAAACCCAAGAAGGGACTTAAAAAAAATAATGACTTATGGGATCGCATTGCAAGCAAATAAATTAAATAAAATTCACATTTCTTTTTGATTAAGTGCAAGCCTTGTTCCTTTCCTGGCACCTCCCCCAAACAGAAAAGCCCGGAGAAACTTTGTCTGAATTAAACCCAATAAAAGCAGAATCCTAATACTAATATATCTGAGGTTGAATTGCTAGGTTCCTTGTTTTTTCTTGAGATGACTTATATATCATCACAGGTTTAGATCCTTGACCAGAATACCCCTGGCAAAATGTGAGAGGCAATAACAATTTACATGGTGAGATAACACAAGGAAGCTTATTTTAATCACCAGCAAGTACAGCCAGCCATTCTTTGAGTAATAAGTATCTCTCTCTCAAGATTTAACATGGAGAGTAAAATCTAATTACATTTTCATCCTTAACTATATTTCTATTTCCTATCTACACTAAAGAGTGCTGCTTTCGGCTCTCTAAATTTTGGTCACATTGGTTTCAAACACTATAGATTTTTCTCTGCAATATTCACTCATAATCTTTCATTCTATCTGAAGTTAAATTTAGATTCCATAAACATTATAGTATGCATTTTATTCTTCAAAGCACCTGTGTGCCCACATATGCAGGTAAGTGTATCCATGTGTTGTTCCATTTGTGTGTGGATCTTCGTGTTCTCTGTAGGAATGTCTGTTTAATTCATAATTAAAGAATAATACATATGCTACATATGCGCATAGCTCAGATAAAACAACAGGGAAGGAGAAGAAGATGGTACATTGATTAATGGTCTAAAAGTCTAAAGCTTGGCAGCATCACTGACAGAAATAAAAATGTGGCAGAGGCGGTTTTAAAAGAGGCCTAGGTGTCTAACACTGTGATTACTAAGACTGAATTGACTAGAATATTGCCAAGTGAAGGATGTTTCCCCTTAGTTTCCCTTATGTCCATGTTATATTAACTTACTATTCTTTTTTTAAATGTATCCACAAAACTTAGGTTCTATACTCAGAAACTAGATAGCTGCTATTTAATATCCAACCACCATTTGATTGGATCACTTCTATAGGTTATCAAAACAATGTTATTATTCTTTTGCAATGTAGTAAACATTTGGCTGCTAAAATTATTAGGGTTTTAAAGTTATTAAAAAGCCAGCGCTCCTCTTCTGTAACTTATATTGAAGTTTAAAGTCCACTATGGCACATATGTACCTATGTAACAAACCTGCATGTTCTGCACAAGTATCCCAGAACTTAAAGTATAATTAAAATAAATAAATAAATAAATAAATAGAAGTGTTTAACAGACTATGACACTCTCCCTTCCTATTTCTTTAAGCCTAGTTTTCCATTTCATTGATAAGTTTTCAGCATTTCATCCCCCCATCCCCTAACAGTTTGCAATGGCACTAACAAAAGTTTGAATTTAAGAGTAATTTTATTGCTTACAAATGTAGATCATTTTCTCATCTAAAGACATGTAAAAGCCCCGGGGTCAGGAATCACAAATTAAGAAAGAAAATAAAATACTTAGGGCAAACTATTAATATATAAGTTAGACAGAAAAATTATATAAGTAACAAGTCAGGAAAAGGATTTGTTTTTCTCTTGAAGTTCAGGAAAACAAACCCAAATATGTGTCAGCCAAAATAAAAAATAAATGAGAGCTGAGGGAGAGTTTTCAAAACCAGAATGATCAGTTTAAAGTACAGTATATTGACATAGGCCTGTTACACAAAATCAATTAATATTATCATTATTATTGTTGTCATTATTTTGCCCACAATTAAGCCTACCAATCATATAATAAGTGACATTATGGTGTGGTTCTTTTAATTCAATCATTTACACAGATCTCTACCATAAGAATGTCAAACTGATTAAACCCAAACCAGAGCAAACCAGTATTTTCAGCTGCAGATAATGTAGAAAAATCAAAGACATGTACCAATGTAATGATTACATTCTGATTCTAATATATTTAAGCTGACTTCAGCCAATATTGAATTTTTACATGTACAAGCTACATTAGTGATTTAAGTTCTACCCTACAATTCTATTTTTATGTTGAGGTTTTAGTAATGACTTAAAGCAAATGTCCAGAATAAACTGACATTTAAACCTTGTTTGGCTGGTTTGAGTTACCTTTGTAACCCTAAGAAAAGCTGTCAGTGTTTGAACAAGAGTTCAAGCATTAAGGAGGAAATATCTGAATTAGAGCTTAGATGTGAAGAAAGAAATGAGCTTAAAGAAAGTCTCTATTGCTTCTTGTTACTTTAATCTCTATATAAAAGCTAACATCTTAAAAGTAAATCTATGGAGAATTATCTTGCAAAACATGTTTATTTATGTAAATTGGAAAAATGAGTGAACTATTTGCAGGTTTCATGAGAAGTAAATATGTCTCTAGGCATAAAAAACATTAACATCTTTACTGTTTTTTAAATAATATCTGTCAATCAAAAAGTTATGAATTAAAAAAGAAGAAGAAAAAGCCTGCAATGCCAAACAGATTAGACACAGTGGGCTAAGAAAAGGAAGATGGATAGAATTGTTCACGGGGCAGATACTCTTCCCCTTTCTCACTAAGAATAAGCAGAGCTGCATTTGTGGAAACTTAACTAAGCAGAAACCTGCAGTGTCTGCTCAGTGCTGCTGACCTGCCAGCTGGAAAGAGCACTGAGTTTAAAGGGTTTAAGCTCTCAAAGAAGCCAAGACTTGGCTGATCATCTTGGGCTCAGCATATTGTGAGGCATATGAACACTCTCTTCAAAACTGGCAGAGAAAAAGGAAGGAAAATTGAAAATCTAAACACAGTAGCCAGTTAAAATTCAGACAATTGTAAGGGTTATGTTTTCTGTGAAGCACTTGGTTATACCCAACACTGATAAATAAGGAAAATAAATGGATTTTCTTTCTGAAGGGAAGAAGAGCAGTATTCCTTTCAATTACTGCTACTTTTAAGTGTACTAAATTAAAAAATGCAATTCGTATCATTTTCCATTTGTTTCATTTTCCGAAATGTGATCTAGTTCTTTTTATCTATCCCTAGAAATTTATTTATATTATTTATTAACATGTTTTATTATTAATTTTAACAAAAATAAGTAAGCTTAAATACATTTTAATAGGATATTCACTATTATAATGAATAAACTTCAAAGACATGGTTTTCAAAAGGAATATGTGGAATAGCCCAAAAGTTACAATGGCATATTCATTATTCTTACATTTTTAAAAGAAAAAAAAATTGGCTTAGCTCCAGTAGAGTTAAAAACGATATTAACTTCTATTCTACTTTTTGTTTTTAACATTTCTGTTTGTGCTATGTATGCCATATAAAGATAACACAACACCCCTCACTCCTGGGAATGTAAAAACATGTTGCCAACAACATTCTAAACTGACATACTTCTGATTTATTGCATCAATACAGAAAATATTACTAAAGATAGTCAAAGTTCACCACTCCTGGGCACATCGCAGGCCATGGGCCTGAAGAGCGGATGCTGCCCACACATCTGCAATCAGCATTTTTACTGATGTCACTTGAAATTGCTGAGCTAGAGGTTGAGACTGAATACTTATCAGTTATATTACTGACAAGTATTTGAGTTGTATATTTAGTGGAAGTTGTAATAAATAGTTCTTTGCATTATATTTCAATTCACATTTCTTTTTTTTTTTTTTTTTTTTTTTTTTTTGAGACAGAGACTTGCTCTGTCCCCAGGCTAAGTGCAGTGGCATGATCTCGGCTCACTGCAATCTGCACTTCCTAAGTTCAAGCGATTCTCTTGCCTCAGTCTCCCGAGTAGCTGGGACTACAGGTGGGCACCATGCCCAGCTAATTTTTATATTTTTAGTAGAGACGGGGTTTCATCATGTTGGCCAGAATGGTCTTGATCTCTTGACCTCATGATCTTCCCGCCTCAGCCTCCCAAAGTGCTGGGATTACAGGTGTGAGTCACTGTGCCGGGCCTCAATTTGCATTTCTAAGTGATAACTGAAGTCCAGGTTCAAAGCAGGCATTTGAGGAATACATGAGACTAAAATACATAAATAATTCTAGATTCAATTCTAGTTTCAGAAAATACATACGAATATTAAGAAACTTGCAGTAAAGTTTTAATTTAAAAGAAATACATTTTATATTTATTTTATTTTCTGTTAAGTAGTGCTTGCCCTTAGCTTATCTCTTTAAACCTACTCTATTTCATTTTTGGATTAAACCTAATTTGTGTTTTAAAATATGACACTAATTATTCTAGAAATCAGAGCTGAATATAATATTCTATAAAATGTTTACTATGTGTAGTGAATCAACTACTTTCAGTAAGACAGAAAAATATTTTTAAAAGAAATGTAGACATTCTTTACTGCTAATACAAATTGAACAGAAAAGAAAGGGTAGGATTTTTTGCCTACCCCAACTAGTAAATCATGTGCTACTTTTAATGGCTCCTCTGCTCAAAAAGATAATATTCTTTTCTAGGAGGGAGGGTTTCTTTCCAAAATGATCTTGCTCATCATCTTTTCAGTTAAGTTGTTTTCATTGTGCCAAATGGAAGTTTTTAAAAATTGTTTATGGGTGTCAAAACTCCTTGAGAGTTCTACTGGGCTCTTTACTCTCCAAGCAATAGTACATAGGCAACATTTCCATCAGTAGTAAAAGTTGATCTGCCAAGTTTTAATGCTGTGACTCAAACAAGAGAGGCAGTTTGGTGGGAAAGAAAGCTGCCTGTTACTTGACGAGGTTTGGTTTATGGACAATATGGCTGAAGGTGTTTGGCATGATACATTCTTTCTTCATCATACTTGTAGCCTTATGTCAGAATGTATATCCTCACCTGGAGTCAATCTGCTGAGTTCTTTTTCCCTTTTAACAGCAAAAGGAAAACTATACTTAGGGAATAACAGTAAAGAATAGTAAAGAGAGTTTTTACACATTGATTTTCTATGAAACTGTGATTAGAGATAATAATGAATGCTAGCTGCTTATTTATATGCAGAAGTAAATTCCTTCTTTCAGTGATATAGAGGGAAAAAATCAGTCATTCTAAAAAAGGTGTTATCTCATATGAAATCTACTTGCTCAAACTAAGAAATAAAGCACTGACACAGGGCAAGTGAAGGGATTTCTTTGCAGTCTGAAATGACTGTCTTAACTTGACTATAAATCTCCTTCACACAATGCCTGGGGTCTTGCTTGCAGGGATGTAATGAAGTTACACTGCCTGAATGAAAATTTAAAAAGCAAATTAGGGCAGGGGACCTTGCCCGCTATCCATGATTTGTGGCAGTGCTTATCAGTAGCTGGTGTGGGGTGATTCATCGTGAGAACACCAAATCTCTTTGTCCCAGGCCACCATGTTTCACTCTAGTGTCAATATATCAGGGGAAATGAATGCTAAGCTCTAACAGTCATAGTTAGTGTTGGACATGTTTGTAACACACACAAAGAGAAATTTACAGCTGGGAAAAACTAGGATACATCCCCTAGTGACTTGGTTCATGGAGTTCTTGCCTTCAGACTGATTCAGTAGCAGCAATACTCCTTTAAGGTGACAACCTCAGTGATCTTAAGAATGTGTTCTACATGGCTGTATATATGAAATGAACACTATGAAAGGCATCAGTATATAAAATCACTCTCTGGTATCTGTTTAAACTAAAGTTCCTGAAAATTCAAATCTTATCCTTAAAAAAAGTTACGTAGTAAGAACTCATGAACTACAATGTGAATAATTTGAACTTTGTGATAGCTCAAACCAGGATTGATAACTCTTACTACTATAAATAAAGATAATACAATGTTTTATATGTGTTATATGTTATTTTATATTAATATTATTAATAGGTTTTGGAGAATTTGTCTTATATGAGTTTATGGAGATTTAAAAAGAAAAACTAATTGCTAGATACCCAAAGTAGTATAGAATAATTTCATTTGACTGTTAATTTAAGATCATTCTTATCAATACTTTAAACTCTTTGCTAGTCCAGTTAAAATTAATTATTTTAAAGCTAATTTTCCATTTCATGGAAAAGTATCAGAGTTATAAGATTGCAAATTTTATCCGCCACCTCCTATATATCCCAGTTATATATTGTATACCTGTAAGATTTTTGCACACTTATGTGTGCTGCATTAGATTCCAATATTTAAAAACTAGAATTAGAAAAATCTTACAATCAGCTAAGAAAAAAAATAGGAGACATATCCAAATAATAAAATCAATGTTAATGCCAAACAGAAGCCACGTGGGTAGTAGAAAAAGTGATCCTAAGCACTGAGAAAACAAAGCAAATGCAATCCATGGGACAATTGATCCTATTTTCAAAAGTGGGAAAGCCTATTTCTTGATGCTGCTCAGAAAGAGCGTGTACATAGCAGACGTAACTTTGTCTTCACTCAAGTCATATACCTATGTAATCTCCAGATTCCTTTTCAACACAGTGACCAAATTCTCTGAATATTAATATCTGAATAATATCACCATCACTTGTTTGCTTCAAATAGTGGCTAAAAAGAGATCATCTTAGAAGACTTCCTTGAACCATTCTTGTGACCCATATATCTTTAAAAGCCTCTGTGGAAATTGCTACTCACAGTTTCTTAGGTTTGCATTTCATTTTCCAAGTACACATGGAAGTCTATGCAGTAAATTTGGATGCAATTCCAGTTTAAGTATGACCTCCATCAATTGTCATAACCAGGTTCAATTTTGGTTAAAATTTCTGATATTTATATGAAATATACATTTTACATTCTATTGGGTTGGGGATAGATTATCTAGATATGGTCATACAGGGTCTATTATAGATTTGTGTCTTTGTGCA
Source organism: Homo sapiens (assembly GCF_000001405.40). Lineage (NCBI taxonomy): Eukaryota > Metazoa > Chordata > Mammalia > Primates > Hominidae > Homo > Homo sapiens. The sequence goes on from NC_000006.12 coordinate 94,134,831, forward strand.
GAAAGAACAATTAACATTTAAAAAGATTTTTTTAAATTTGGCATAAGATGTCATTCTATTACTAGCCGCATTTGGTTCATAGGTTTGTTGTTTTTATTTTAATGGCAAAAATAAAGCCCCATAACCAAAAAGTTGAGATCAAAGCAATCAATCTCCATCTAACTAAATATTTTTCTGCTTCCCTATTTCTCTTAATTGTCACTCCCCACTCAGGGACAGAGTCATAATGCTATCCTTGATTCTTTCCTATCCTTTATCTTCAGCCTCACCTTCACACATTATAGTTAAGAATTCCTTACGTTATATGTATATCTTTTTCTTTTCTATTTCCACTTATCTATGTATAAAAGCCTCACTTCTGAATTAGTGCAATAATCTTGTATTTGTGCTCATTTACTTCATCTCTTTACTCTATAGGTGGCTATACAACTACCTGTTTAATCTTCCTAAAATGTCATGCAGCTAACCTACTCAAAATTTCGGATAATAGTTGCTATGGTTTGAATAGTTTTGTCTTCTTTAAAATTAATGTGTTGGAAACTTAATTACCAATGCTACAGTATTGTAAGGTGGGGCCTTTTGGGAGGTGTGTAGACCATCAGGGCTTCAGCCTCATGAATAGATTAAATGTCACTATAAGAAGAGCTTGCAGGAGTGCCTTCACTGTCTTTTGCTATCTGCCATGGGAAGAAGCAGAGTTGCTCTTTTGCTCTTTCACATGTGAGGACACAGTAAAAGGCTGTCATCAGATGCCAAAACCTTGGTCTTCGACTTCTCAGCCTCCAGAACGGTGAGAGAATACACTTATGTTCTTTATAACTCACCCAGTCTGTGGTTCCATTATAGCAGCACAAATGGACTAAATCAGATACCTCACTGAATGAGTATCCAGGCTATATCCAAAAATGTTTGTCCCTTAATCATGTCGTAAGCTGCAGTCCACAAGTTTTGATTTGTGCATTTAATGTATACTAAGGAACCAGTGGTCCTTGCACTATTTTTAACACTTTATAACCTTTAATTTGATTATTTATTTGGCGATTATGGTTAAAAGGGGCTTCAGGATCCTGGCCATGTTCTGTTTTCTTACTAGAGTGGTGGTTATATGATTTGTTCTCACTTTACCCCGAGCTGTACATAAAGATGCATATTTATCATTGTGGACTTTTCTGTGCTGAGTTATATTTCAATTTAAAAAGTAGTTTATTTGAAAAGCAAATTAAATTGTTAGGCAATAGAAATTCACTATCACCTTGGGTTCCAGAGAGGTTAGAACGTAAAGTGATATTCCAGGCAAACATCTTGCTACACAAAGTAGGAAACTTCATAAGAATAAAAAGCAGAATTTAAAAGTTTAGAGAAGAAGGGAACATTAAGGTTAATCTACAGAACATGTCATTTAATTAACTTCAGAGTACAAAGTACAGGGTTCTATGCTGTAATAACTGTAAAAGTATAAAACTATATGCTATTATGATAAACTTTTATATGTACTTTCTTACTATAATATTGTTTATAAGTACTTCTTAATTTTCAAATGGAACAGTACTTTATAGTTATCTTTTTGATGTTGATTCTTACCTTAATCTCACTATGATCAGATAAAAGACTGATATTATCAAAACCTAAAAGTTTGTTGAGGTTTACTTGCTTTGTAGAACAGCATATAGTTGCACAAGTAGAAGTTGAAACAAATGTGTGTTGTTGAGTTATTCTGTACAGTATTTTGTACATGTCAATTAAATCCTATAGTTAGGTAATTGTGCTTTTCAAATGTATATACTTCCTGATATTTAATTCAATCTGAAACTTTAGAGTTGAATGAATCCATTATAGGAATAGAAAAAAAAATTGTATTAATTTTTTAGTTCTAAAATAAGTTTCATTATTTTATATGACTTCCAGGTTTCTGTTAACATTTGCCATTTTGTCATTAAAACACTTCAAATAGTTGCTGTCTTTTTAAAATTAAAGTAGGACTATTCTAATTTCTAATTTTTTTGAGTGTATTTTTGTCACCTGTTCTTTCTCTTCATTGTTAGTAATTTCTTGCTGTTCTCATTGCAAGTTATTTTGATTGGACTTTTATTAAGTATGATAATTTAGTATAAAAAAATAGAGACAATTTGAAGAATTACATAATTTTAAATTTCTCCAGATTTTCTTCCAGCTATCAGTTAGGTCAGCACAAATCAACTTAAACCAGGGTTTCTACACCTCAAGACTACTTGATATTTTGGACTTGATAATTCTTGATTGTGAAGAGTTGTCCATTGTAGGATACTTAGCAGAATTATTTGCCACCCATCAGACGCCTGCAGCATTCCCCCAAATTGTGACAATCAAAAATATCTATACATAGCTATATGTTCCCTGCAGCAGGATGAGGTGTTTTCGTGGTGCTTAAGAATAACTGCTTTAACATGTCAGGAACTGAATTAATTTAAATCTTGTTTAGGCCTAATGCAGTGGCTCACGCCTATAATCCCAGCATTTTGGGAGGCCGAAGCGGGTGGATCACCTGAAGCCAGGAGTTTGAGACCAGTCTGGCCAACATGGCGAAACCACGTCTCTACTAAAAATACAAAAGAAAATTAGCAGGGCGTGGTGGTGGGTGCCAGTAATCCCAGCTACTTGGGAGGCTGAGGGAGGAGAATCACTCGAACCCGGGAGGTAGAGGTTGCAGTGAGCTGAGATCGTGCCATTGCACTCCAGCCTGGGCAACAAGAACGAAACTCTGTCTCAAAAAATAATAATAATAATAATAATAAATAATAAATAATTCTTGTTTAATTTTCGTGAGAATTATTTTTTTTTCTGGTGTGATCTTACTCATAGGCTTTAGATTTTACTTTTTTCAAATGGAACCAGAAGTATTTATCAGACACTCATTTTTAGTCCCAAACCCTGAGATGGACAGCTGTACCTCTAAGCCTCTCAACTGCCTCTTTTTGCTCAGATTCTCAGCTTCCCATTCTCTGCTTTTACTTGACAAACACCTTACAGGAAAGTGATGCCAAATGTCAGATTTACCTTCCAGAGGTTTTTTTTGGAACATAGTTAACTCCCCAATCCCTTTAAACAGACATTGTAGAGATGTTCTTCAGTTATTTTAGTTGTGTTCAGGTAGTGGACTGGTAAAAAGCAAGTGAGCCCGCCATTGTTAGAGTTAAATCTCCCCTTGACCAATTGTTTAAAACATGTTGCAGGATTGTAAGTCCCTGCCCTTATTGGCTTTGTATGTGTCCGACACCCATCTCTGAATGAGTCACAGTATCCACAAAAATGAAATGCTCAAGTTGGTTTATCCTGAGTTGTATGCCCATATCTAAAGATGTGTATGGGACCAATCCTACTTCAACTGTATAGATAAAGTATGGATGATGAGGAGCTTCGCAAAGAAAATCTCAGGGCTACTATCTTAAAGCAACAGTGAGGAGAGCTTCAGTGGGAAAGAAGGAGATAACAGGTGGATGGTAGGAGATGAAAAACAATAGTTTTCACTAAAGATAAGTAAAAATAGTTATATTTACAAGTAAATCAATATAAATTATATTTATAGTAATATAAGTAAATATAAATTTATAAACATAAATATAAACTGATAAATAATTGGTGCTCAATAAATGTTACATTTTCTTTTTAAAACTTTTTAAAATTCGCATAACATTTTCTTAAAAATCTCTAAATATTAAAATAAAAATACTATATTATACTTTTGATATATTAACTGAACCCAATGTTTAAGGAATATCACTAAACAGAAAGAAACTAAGATAATTTAGGAAAAAAAAACTAGTTTAAAGATAGAAGTACTTGCTCACATATGTGGTTGAATCATTTTAACTTATAGTCAGAAAGTATTTTTCACATCTTATGCACTGGTTATGGCTGGAAGATTTTTATATGTTTATCTCAGATTTCTGGGGCAGGAAAAGGGAAATAAATTTAATAATCTAACAACTAAGTCCCTTTGAATGCAATTTTTTTTTTTTTTTGAAACAGTGTATCCTTCTGCAGCCCAGGCGAGAGTGCAGTGGCATGGTCACAGCTCAATGCGCTCGACTTCCTGACTTCATGAGCTCAAGTAATCCTCCTCTTTCAGCCTCCTGAGTAGCTGAGACCACAGGAACACAGCACCACAACTGGTTAATTTTTAAAAATATTTTTGTAGAGACAGGGTCTTGCTACGTTGCCAGGCTGGTCACAAACTCCTGGGCTCAAGCAATTCACCCTTTTGGTTTCCCGAAGTTCTAGAAGTACAGGCATGAGACACTGTGCCCAGCTCGTATACATATTTTTGAGAGCTAGGTAAGTCAATATGAGGTATCTTCAAACCAATCGACTTTTTTCTAAATTATCAATAAATGCATTTATGATTAGTTGTGTTGAATGGTGATTAATGATTTTCAGATACACATGCTTTATCCTATCTAATGAACCCTACTATTCTCACTATTTCATATACATGATTCAGACATGCGCACACACACACGTATTTTTGTTTTCACTACTTAATATCATGTACAGAGCAATATTTTATTGCTGATAAAAAATTTCACTCTTCTGGCATTCAGGTATGGACAGGCCAATTCCCCACCACTTCTATAGACATCTATGCTAATGAAACCAAAGTCAACTTCTACCTAGAATAGTCCAATCATCTTATTTCATTCATGGGAACAGACTTCCTGCCAAGTGCTATCTCTCATCTATATACCTTTGTCCCAAAACTTTACCAATAAATCATATATCTGTGGAACAAATTGATCACAACTTATTTCACAGAATGTAATTAAAACTGCATTTTGTAATTCTAAATTTTGGTGTGTGTGTGTGTGTGTGTGTACTTGTGTGTGTATGTACATGTATGTGTGGGCCAAGGGGAGAGAGGAAATGAGGAAATTGGGATGGTAATATTGTTTTGTGTAAAAAAGGGCAAAAGGGTAGCATTATTATAATGACCTTTAGTACACAGCACTGTTAAAGTTGACATATATAACATATTTGTTTCTTTAAGTAGGCAATAAATGAATCAGTACTGACTTGAACAATTATTGAATGTAATTTGGTAAGAAATTCACCAGGGATAAAAAGACCCCAAAAGAATTCTCTGAACCTAGAGTAGGCAAAGTAGAAGGATTGAGCTGCCATTGCAGATTAAAAGGTTTTTTTGTGATTCCATTAGCAATATAATTGGAGCAGAGGGAAATGTGTAGAAGTATAAGTATGGATGGTTAACTTTTAGCTTTAGCCGACTTCAGGAAAAAAAAAAAAAGAAAAGCCGTTATTGCTTGGTCGTAAATTAAAAGATATCATTGCTGTTGAAAAATACAAGTACTTTCTATCGCACAAAGAAATTTCATAGAAAACATGCATATATTTTCAGTGTATTTTCTATCACTGTTATAGTCAAAAAAGTGCCACAGTTCTTCAAGAAGAGATCAGTTTTGTGATGAGATAGTTCAACTCTGTTCTAAAGGATTTTTTTTTTTTGTCTAATGCAAATGGAAAGAGAAGACCAAAAAAAAGTGCACTTAAAAATACTTACACTAGCCCATTTCTTATTTTCTGAAAGGGAAAAATAAAGCTTGCAAATATACACCTAAGCAAAAAGGAAAGGAGGACAACTTTGATTCCTGACATGATGGCAATTACTCTTTCTTCTAGCTACTTCTGTCAAAACTTAGCCTAGAGAAATAAGAGATGGAAGAATGGTATCCAGTGTATCAACAACATCAAAAGGAATGAGACCCAGTGAGATAGAAGGTGTTTTATTTTTTTTGAAAGTATGCGTGTGTTGTGGATGTGTGTAGCCTGGATGGAGTCCTAATTAGGCTAGCCATAGTGGAGAGAGTGACAAATAAGAAAAATTGTTTGGAGTTTGTTATTTCTGCCCATATTGTACCCTTCCTACCACCACTACCACCTTAGAATAGTCATTAGCTGCTCTCTTCCACTGAGGTCAGTAGTTGACATCAGTACGCCACAAGAAACCTCTTGCATGAGGTCAAGAAAAATATAAGCGAGAAATCATTGTTTTTCTATATTTTATAAATTTTTATATTGATTTTTCTGATGGATATTCTAAGAATATTGTCTTCTCCTAAAACATTGCTTGTTCAGGATTTCTTTTTTTTTTTTTTTGAGACGGAGTCTCGCTCTGTCACCCAGGCTGAGAGTGCAGTGGCATGATCTCTGCTCACTGCAACCTCCGCCTCCCAGGTTCATGCCATTCTCCTGCCTCAGCCTCCCAAGTAGCTGGGAATACAGGTGCCCACCACCACGCCCGGTTAATTTTTTGTATTTTTAGTAGAGACGGGGTTTCACCGTGTTAGCCAGGATGGTGTCGATCTCCTGACCTCGTGATCCGCCCGCCTCAGCCTCCCAAAGTGCTGGGATTACAGGCAGGATTTTTAAGTTGAAGTTCTAAATCTGATTTTGTGGAAATGATAGCAAATACATGTAATTAACTACGGTTTGCTGGGATCTGCGGTTCTCTCCCCTAGGGCTTATCCTGTACAGCCTCCTTGGACTCACTTGAAATGCCACAGGCCAGGTGCTAGCCTTCTATCCTTCTAATGCATATTATGAAACAGAGTAGCTGATGAGCCCAGGAATATCAGAGATCATCAACTAGAAAAAAAAAAATTCCACAGAACTATTACCTTCAGAGAAAAAAAGGCTGGGAAATATATACTCTCTGAAGCAGAAATATTTGAATAGTCAGGCCAAAAATCTAAAGAAGAAAAATGAGTTATATTAGCAAATTAAAAAAGAATGAGAAACTCTTAAGAGTTCAGATGGAAATATTTTTTGTAAAAATATAATAAGACAAGATAAAAGGAGTAGCAGTTGAAATTTAGCTGACAATCAAGTTTGTGTTTGGATGACTATATTAAAAAAACTCTTCTAGAACAAAATAAGATAATATAAAACAATACAAAATATACAATTCAAGATATATGGAGATTAAATAGAAGTTCGACATTCAAGTAACATAATTTTGGAGAAAAACATAGTGAAAAAATTGTTCAAAGAATAAAAATAATTTTCAAGAATTAAAAAGAAACAATCATCTAAATTGTGTACAAAGGAGCAAAGTGCCAATAAGAGCAACTTATTTAAAAAATAATAACAGAGTACTTTATAAGTTATTATAAAACATTATTATTAAGGTGCAGTGGTATTATTGGTGAAGAGATAGACTAATTTGATCAATGGAACACAATATGAGCCTTAGTACCGACTCACATTTTTATGAAGATTAAAAGCAAGTAAAAATTAATTACAGATTGTCAAGACAGTAACTAAATAGATTAAAAAAAGAGGAAATGGTAATTTAAAAATAGTAGTTCTGAAGGACAGGTTTGGGGATGAGATGGAGAGACTTGTATAAACAGATATTAGTAATAGTGTATAAACTAGATTTGAGTCTGAGGCTGGATGGTATGTTCATGGTGATATTAGGTATGTAAATGAAATAATATAAAATACATAAACACATATGGTTAGTGGATAGACCAATGATGGCAATGTGCCATGAACAAATAATTGCAATTAATTCAATATATCTGAGTTTTAATTAAGAGAAAGCAAACAAGGAAATCAAATAAAAATAATTTGTGTTTTTAAATTCTTAAAGGTTCTTACTGGGTTTAACATTAAAAAAATGTTTATTTGATCTGAAAATTTAACTATTTTCTCACTCATGAAAACTCATCTTGGGATTTATATACATAAACACTTTAAAAACCTTAAATGGCTTATAATGGCCTATTTATCTAAACAGAGAACAGAAAATATTTCTAAATGCTAACAAAATCAGAATGAATGGAAAATATGGCTAAGAATACAGGAGATATAATTATAATATTTTCAACTTATTAACACCATTGTAGTTGTATAGCTGTCTGCTTAAAATAGAACAAGTACCACAAATTTGATCATTGCAATATTTATATATCTTATAAAAATCTCTGCTAGTTTTCTTCAAATATGTCATCATTAGACAAATAACTGATTACAGTAGGTAAAATTTACTTTATTTTAATTCAGATATAATTCACTTTATAGAAAATTTATTCTTAAAGTGTGTACTTCACTTGTTTTTAGTATATTCACAAATTTGTGAAATCAGCACTGCCATCTAACTCCAGAACATTTTTATCATCTCAAAAATAAAGCAATACCCATTAGAAACACCTCATTCCCCTCTTTTCTGAGTTTCTGGCCACCATTAACTACTTTCTGTCTCTATGGATTTGCCTATTCTAGACATTTTATACAAATAAAATCATATATGACAGGGCCTTTTGTATGGCTTCTTTCTCTTAGTATAATATTTCCAAGTTTCATGCATGTGGTTCCATGAATTGGTGAATAATATTCCATTTTATGGATATACCACTTTGTTTATCATCTACTGATGAATGTTTGGGTTTTTTCCACATTTTTGCTATTAGCAATAATGATGCTCTAAATATCTGGGTACAAATATGTGTGTGAGTGAAGATTGATTCTCTTGAATATATTCTTAAGAGTGGAATGGCTAGATCATTTTGTAACTCTATGTTTTACTTTCAATGGAAGGACAAACTGTTTTCTAAAGCAGTTGTTCTATTTTACAATCCACCAGCAATGCATGAGTTGTTCAACTTCTCCACAATCTCTTCAATACCTATTCATGTTTTTTTCTTATTATTATAACCACTCTAGTGTGTATGAAGTTTTCATCTGAGTGTGGTTTTGATTTACATTCCTCTATAGACAAAAAAGTTGAGCACATTTTTTTCACATGGTTATTGGCTGTTTGCATATCTTTTTTGAAGAAATGTTTATTCAACTCTCTTGTCTATTTTAAATATTGGTTTGTCTTTTTATTGCTGAGGCTTAAGTAGTTATTTATGTGTTTTAGATATGAAACCATTCCTAACTGTGGGATTTATAAATATTTCTTCTCATTCTTTGAGTTGTTTTTTCACTGTTTTTATAGTGTGCTCTGAAGCAAAATCATAATAATTTTGATGAAGTCCAATGTATCTATTTTTTTCTTTGGTTGATATGCTCTAAATACCGTATCTAACAAACCATTGCTTAATCCAAGGCCTATAGTTTTTCGTATAGATTTCTCTTATCCTGGACACCTCTTCTGTGGACAAGAATGTCTTTCCTCTTGTTACAGAGAGAGCAGTTTTCACATAGAAGTTTTCTTTTCTGCTTTAAGTAGAAAAAGGAACCTATTAGTCCCATGCTTTCATCAGCTGTTTTTCCAGTGGTTTTACCTCAAAATAATCACTGTGCCAAAGAGGCATCTGTAGGGGTAAGATGCTTTGGATCCTATCACTGTGAATGGCAATTACTGTTTTAACTAGGCAAAATTTCCAAACTCAGTGGACAAGGCCAACATTACCCTGATACCAAAGCCAGACAGGACACTGCAAGACAAGAAAATTACACACCAATATCTCTGATGAACATAGATGTCAAAATCCCCAACAATATACTAGCAAACTGAATTAAACAACACATTAAAATGATCATTCACCATGACTGACTGGGATTTATCCCTGGGATGAAAGGCTGATTCAACACATACAAATCAGTAAATACGATACACCATATTAACAGAATGAAGAACAAAGCCATACATTCCTATTGATAGATACATTTGACAACATTCAACATCATTTTATGATTAAAAGCTCTTAACAAATTAGGCATAGAAGAAATGTACCTCCATAAATGCCATATATGAAAAGCCCACAGGTAACATCATACTCAGTGATGAAAGTTGAAAGCCTTTTCTCTATGATCAGAAACAAGTCAAGGATATTTACTCTCACCTCTTGGTACTGGAAGTTTTAGCCACAAGAAAAAGACACAAAGGCATCCAAATCGGAAAGAAAGAAGTGAAATTGTCTCTGCTGTTTAAGCTACACTTATTTTTTTCTTTTTGTCTCATACTTTCTTTGTGTGTGAAAAACTGGACAATTTAAACAACCAAATATGGCAACTCTGGCAGACTCTTTCACCTCCTTCATTGGTATGTTGTTTAGTGACTTTCTGAATGAAGTTACTTGTTTAGTGACTTTCTGAATGAAGTCTGTTTGTATTACTTGTCTTTGCTGATGATCAGACAGATTTCTTTAGACACCTGAAACTAATATATCTCCTAGTGTCTGCCAAGAAGTTCTGTATACATGTTGAGGCATGCCTCCAACACTCAGCCAATTGACAACTACACCTTATCCTTTATACCTTGCTTGTGAAGAGCCTCAACATTAATAAAGGTCAAAAGTTTAAAGGCTTTTTATCTTTTCTGATACTATATACCATTTTGGGCATCTGCTTAGCCCTACACATGAACATAGCCTTCTACGTTTTTTGAGATGTTTTGGAATTCTTAAAGTCCTATATGAACATCTCATTCTCCAGCTTTTCCTTTTAAGCTTTTTGGTTAGCCTATTGTTTTCCCCAACTGTTATGTACTTTCTGAAGCAATTCAACAGTTGTTTAATAATTTAACAATTGCCTCTGATTTTTTTTAATTTTTAATTTTTGTTGGTACACACTAAGTGTGTATATCTATGAAATGTATGAGATATTTTGATACAGGCATACAATGTGTAAAAATTACATCAGAGTAAATAATATATCCATCATCTCAAGCATTTATCCTTCTTTTGTGTTACAAACAATTCAACCATACTCTTTTAGTTACTTTAAAATAGCCCCTGATTATTTTTGACAAAGTCCCAGTGGGGATGATTGCTTTGGGGATGATTGCTTGAACTGGGCAATTCCCGTTATGTGTGTGTGTGTGTGTGTGTGTGTGTGTGTGTGTGTGTATATATATTATATATATATATATAAAATCTTTGTGAATGTGGTCTTACCGGGAACTACCAAATAGGTGAAATAATAACATTTTTGAGGCCTTCGAAAGGTGCTCTAATCTCATTCTTTCCCTTTCAATTTCTGCCAAGTTGTGATTTTCACTGCAATTGTGGTGGTTGATTTTCAAGGCTAATGAGAAGTTAGGGAGGGGAGAATTGGAACAGGTCATGTTAAAATGATATTAATCTAAAACTCTTTTTCTTAATGTGATTGATCTCTTTTTTTTCTCTTGAATAAACACTCTTGGGATTGACTAAAGTCTTTGGTTAATTTCCAGAATTCTAAAACATTAATTCTGACATTTTTGCCACTGTTCTTATTGCTTTTATGATGATGATGTATCAAAATGATTTGTGTGCTTAACGTGTCAAAATGGAGTCATTCATGTCAAGCAGCTTTGAGACCACAGTGAAGTTGTTCTTCCTTTCCTCAAAGAGATAAATATGTAATGACCTGAGGGGATAACATCCACTGTTGCCTGTACCACCTGAGACCTAAAAAGAGCAAATGGAAACTTAAAGGCAGCTGATATAATGAGATGAGAATAGAATCATCTGGGAAGATTGTAAAAGCAGCTAGGACTTGGCCTTCTTTAAGACATCTTCTCAGGCTCTGTCTGTGAGAACTTGGAGATATTCTCTGGAATTTGTCAGCTCTGCTGGAGAGAAATCCCTTCACATCTTCCTCTCCACTGACATTGGAAGAACTTCCAGACCAACTGAACTTGGCTATTGGCATGTTGGTGTTCCCGAGCCATCACTGTGGTTTTCTACTGCCCTTTTTTATTACTACATGTGTGTTAAGTATTAATTGCATGATTGGTGGTGTATGAAGGTCTTGCAATAAACCATAACTTTGAGCATATATAATTGGCTATTGAGTCATTATGAAACCTTATGGCTTTGGTCAGAGTTAGTGTATGTAGGCAGTGTAGACCTAATTAACATATCAATTGGCACGGCCATAGCAGTAACAAGTGGACAGAATTTCGAAGAGTCCTTAGTCCACCATTTTTACTCATGCCACTCTGGATTTCTTAAGGAACAATGCAACACATCTCAATTGGCTTCACTGTATTTTTTACATTTGTATTTGTGTAAAGCGAAAACATAATTTGATTTCTAAAACTGTAAATTAAAGGACTATAAAAACAGCTATAACATTTTCAATGGTTAAACTCATTGATCAATCAATTCTCTTTTGTGGGATAGAAATGATAAGCCTTGCAGAAGATGCTTATCCTACAATTATTAAATTCCAATTCAATCTAATTACATACCAATAAAAAGTCTTTCCTGTCATTTTTTCCTTCTGAACAAACTTAATTATGATTTTTGAGGATGCAGACATCAATTTCTTTTCAAAAGGCGGCTCTAAATATATTAATAAAACATCTTGAAGCTAATAATATACCATTGATTAATCTAGTGGCATTATGTAGTAAACTACATAAAAACCTGTGATGTGTTTCCTTAAATAATGTTAGAGGCACGGTTATTGGCTATATTTAAATTTAGATCTTTCATTGCTAAGTATGAGAGAAGTAAGAAGATAAACTCTGAATGCCTGGATATAATCAAAATGGGAAATAATATAGCTAAATAGTAATAAAATATATTCAATATGTTTATATTTATTTTTTCTAGAAATGTTATCTTATTTGTTAAACAAAACCAGGAATCCACTAACAAATAATTTCAAAATGGCAAATAATCCATGAGGATTTTTTTTTAAAAGCTAAAGCAGACATTCCTTTTTGGTAGTGGACAACATAAATCTACAAGGCAAAATCAAAGACCCATTGAGGATGGGAATTGATGAAGTTTGAAGCTTTCTTATATTCTTTTTAGATCTATCTCTTTTTCATGCTTTGTCTTGCAGACTCACTTGAAGAATAACAAACCACTACCAACTTAACACTCCTTTATAAACAATGGGGACCTAGAGTCTAAAGAACTTTGAAGAAATGATCAAAATTAAGGATTTAAAAGACCCTATGTAATATTATCCAATTGTTGTTTGTTTGTTAGATGGTAGTTGACTTAAAAGTATAAAGACTGGGATACTACTATTTTTAACCAATTATTCACTGTGTAAATCATTCTGGGTGATGATCAAACTCATAGAAAACATATTTTAAACTCCAAATAAGATAATTTTATCAAAGTCAACAGGCAACATGGCAGCATAGCAGCATAAGTGGATCCTTATTTGAGTTAAATTTAACTGTGTGCATAGAGGCTACCAATGATTTTTAGGTGCTCTTTAGAGTTCTTTAATTCCACACCCACTTGCTATCTCTCACTGATAAACTTTTGGCTTCTTGATGCTTTATGATTATAATCAGCTGAGTATCATCATATGGAAATGCACATATGATAATGTGCAAAATACTTGCCTTATACAACAGGGGCCTAGATTAATTGGAGATAAATGGAAGGAAGCAGGTAAGAAGACAACATAAAGATAACATTTCTCTATGCTCTGTTTCCCAAACTGTGCTATCCTTACAGAAAATTTATTTCCAGTTTCAAGAAAGAAATGCAATCTTTTGGCTAAAATATTGAAAATGTGGATGAGGAAATACTTATCCTGGTAATTCAGCTAAAGCCTATGAGATTTCATTTATTTTATATTCCACACAGAAACCTAAAATTATTGATCACTTTTTCAAAAATAGCTACCTCTTAAAAACCTTTGGTAGTGTTACTTCTGGTACAGCCAGAAAAAATAATTACGCTGCCAATAACAGAAGTTCCCTAGTATTACTAGAACATTTCCTTTCCTCTATGATTCCAGAGGCACTCTAAACTTAGCCAGTGGGGAATTTCTGATTAAAAATTTAGGCCAGAATAGAAGAAAATATTTCATGTGTCTAGGTGCACTATGGATGAGTAGAGAAAGTTATAGAATCAAGACTGTGTAGGATAGAGGAAATTTTTCATGGATCAGAAAACTCTAAAAGGGATTTAATATGGGGCTTAAAATTTTGAACAATATCATCCCTGGGGAGATGAATGCAAATTTCTTTGGTCAGTCCCTTGACACATATACTTATACACACATACATACAAATGCACACACCTCAAAACAGACAACAATAAATTTCCTACTTCTTGCAGTGCTCAATAGAGATTGGAGGGGAAGAAAGGAAGGAAGGAAGGGAGGGAGGGAGGGAGGGAGGGAGGAAGGGAGGAAGGGAGGGAGGGAGGAAGGAAGGAAGGAAGGAAGGAGTCAGCACATTATATATTGAGCACAAGACTCTATATAATTGGCAATATGAAGGAAGGCAGTGATCAACAAAAATGAATTCACAAATGTTTGTCATGTTCACTATAAAAGTAATAGGAATTAACTGAGCTGTAGTCACTGGCGAGGATCTTTGACAGAGGCTTCACTAATACTCTCCCATAGCCGTGGCCAGCTTCAATACTGAAGATATATTATTTATCATTCAATGATACTAAATTTTAATCCTTTCATCTTTTCAAATCTATTCAAAAATGTTCTGTCTATGTCTGCTTAATTTTATTCTTGTTGCTATAATATTATTTGTTCCATTAGTGCACTAGCAATGTCATGCATAAAATTAACTGGAGGTACTAGGGACACACAGAGATTTTACATTTTTGTAATGAAGGTGTTTCTTAATATAAAATTGTTTCTACCTAAACAATATATTTTCTAGAATCATTAGATTCTGGAGAACATTTTGTTTTTGCTTTTATCTAAAAGGTATTAAGTCAATTTGGTTAATTTAAATAGAATATTAATGATATCTGTAAAATCCTAACATTTATTTTCCTATCTTATTTTGAATTCAACATCTTTTTAATTTTCAAATTACTTCCAGAAGTTTCATTACATCTAATGCTTCATCTACATGCTATGGCTTTAATGTGGGGTTAACTGTAGTGCAGGAATCTATTTATGGGCCATAGATTGTCTTCCATTGCCAGGTATTTTTATGTACACTATACCTCAAATATAGTTTGGAAGAAAAGTTGTGCTTTTTAAAAATATTTATTTAATAGAAAAATTAGGCATTCAGATTGAAATTCTACTTTTAATTTTATCCAGTCCAATTTTACCATCATGATGGAGCATACTAAGAGAGTTTAATAAATGCTACATAGTCTAAATCGAAGGAATGTCTATAGGAATATATGTGGACCAGTAAGCAAAGTTCTCGTGCTCAGAAATTCAACTGCGATTGGCATAAAAATGTCAAGGTCAGTGAAAATTAGTTCTTTTCATTCATAAACATTGATTACTTTTGATATTCCACACATATTCTTCAAATTTTCTTCTTACCATTTTGAAAAAAGGAAAATGCAGCCCACGAATGGAGTATTCTGCCTTAAAATGATAGCTCTATTCATAGGCCGCATTTTTCTGTTTTCAAAATGGCAGGGCCTGGTGTGGTGGCTCATGCCTGGTGCGGTGGCTCATGCCTGGTGCGGTGGCTCACACCTATAATCCCAGCACTTTGGGAGGCTGAGGCGGGCAGATCACCTGAGGTTGGGAGTTCAAGACCACCCTGGCCAACATGGTAAAACCCTGTCTCCACAAAAAATACAAAAATTAGCTGGGCATGGTGACAGTTGCCTGTAATCTCAGCTACTCAGGAGACTGAGGCAGAAGAATTGCTTGAACCTGGGAGTCAGAGGTTGCAGTGAGCGAGATCAAGCCACTGCATTCCAGTCTGGATGACGGAGTGAGAATCTGCCTCAAAAAAAAAAAAAAAAAAAAAAGAAGAAAATTTGAGTGGATGGGAATATGAAACAAAATCATTTAAAATTAATTTAGAAAAAGATTGAATGAAATAAAAACTTCTTTCCTTTTTTTGTGGTTGGTTTTTTTTTTTTTTTTTTTTTTTTTTTTTTTTTGTCCTCCAGGCTCCTAGAGTAGGAGGATCCTGGTTTTGTACTTTTTCCTTCTTTTTTCTTCCTCAGCATATAGCACAGTACCTGGCACATCATGAAGGCTCAATAAATATTTGGTCAATGAATGAATGTGTGAGTGAAAAAAAACACACTTGCAATTAACTACACTCCAAGTCACACCTTGTATGTGCCATTACCCATTCTTGCTTCAATTTTTATGTAAAAAATGACTACTGGAAACATTTTTAGAAATTTCAACCGGAATGACTCACATCTGATCCAAATCAGAAGAACAATCATTCTGGCACCATTATAAGAGCTCTCAGATGTTAAAGGTGACAAAATGGGCAGAGCTTCTCCTAACAGATTATGAATACCATGTGTGACAGAATTAAGTGAAAAAATGTTCATAAAAATGCTGAAGTGGAAGGCATGTCATGCCCATGTGGCTTGGCTGCAGGATAGTATGCATTCACTGACATGATGGAAAAGTTGGGTAGCATATCACATACGGCATATGGCAGGCTTTTGCTTCAGCAAAAACGCATAGCACATGCCAAAAAGTGGTGTAGTTTCTACTGATTACTCTGTTTTTTAGTTTCTTTCAAAGGGTTCAAAATTAATATTAAAGATTTTTAGCAACTTCCCAAAAAACCAAAAATATCCAAACATACACTTTAACTCATTCAACAGCGAATTTCCATATTGATTTGCCCACCTTAAAAAATGCATAATGTATGCATTATCTCTAGAAATATAAACTAAAAAGGACACTAAAAGGAAAAATATCTCATAATTTAGTAAAAACAGACTCACTTTCAAAATTTAAAGTATGCATATGTATACTTAGTACATATGCTTTCATATTCTGCCTTATACTCACTTGTACACTCATTCAAAAAAACGTCATTGAGTGCATATGCTACTCACTGTGAATCCAGAGGTCAAGTATTGGTCCCTTCTATCAAGAATCTTGTATTCTAGATAGTGAAATAAGAATAAAAAGAAAACTAAACTACAGTGGGATAAGTATGATAAGAATTAAGAAATGAAGGTGGGGCTGGTCATGAGGAAGGTAAAAAATATTAATAAATAAATTGTGGGTGGATATCTGGGTGGATAATTATTGTGATTTGCCTCTGTTATGAAATTATGCATTAATCATTTAAGAAGAAGAAAAAATATTACAAGCAAAAGTAAGAGCATTTGAAAAGCAAAGAAATGTAAGTTAATAGGTTGATTTTTCAGATGCTGCAAATAATTTAATATTGATAGAGCATAGTGTACAGCTACTATGGCAATAATCTAGAAGACGGAGACCAGAACCCCACTCTATGTTATGTTGAGCTTAGATGATGTACTGAATGGGAGGCAAAACCATAAAAGCGTTTTAAGTAGAGAGTAATGATCAGATACTTCTATTAAAGAAATCAATCTGCAGACTCCAAAGAATGGGAAAAATGGTAAGAAGATGACGATATTGAAGGCTGCTGCATTAGTTCAAATGGTAAGAAGAAGGGCCTATCTAGAGTATTATTAATGTAAATGGAAAGGAGAAGGTTGCTGTTATTGTGATATTGACAATATGCCTGGCAGGACTCAGTTAACTGATTGGAAGGCTTGGGGTAAGCAATGGAAGTAATTTATGATGACTCCAAGAGGTGATGCTTGGTAAACTGGCTGATGTGAGAAAAAGAGGATGCGAGAAAGATTTGTTAAAAAGAAAAAAATCTCATTTTTAAAATTTTCAATTGGTGGGCTTATGAGATTATCTAAGGGGAACTCTGATATACAGTTTAATGTGTAGACATTATCAAAAAAAAAAAGCTTACACCGGAAAAAATTGTTCTTGAATAGAATGTGAAGTTTCCTATTGCTAGGTATAATGTTTTATATATGTCCATTAGATCACTACTATGAATTCTATATGAGGAAAAACATATTTGCTTTGCCAACACCTCATTTGGATTTGAACTTAGGTTCTTGAGTAAGATTGCCCCTTATTTTCTCCTTTTTCTGGTATTATCCTTGTCTAATATTATTAGTTATGTTTGCCTTATGAAGAGTAAAAGAGTTTTCTTTCTTTTTCTCTCTCTGCAAGGATTGTGTTGAAATTGGATTATTCTTTGAATGTTACCATTGTAGTCAAGTGTTTCTTCATGGGAGAATATTTAATACATTTAATTTCACTAATGATTGTAGGACTACTACTATATCATGTTAAATCAACATTAATACATTGTTTTTAAATAAATGTATATATTTCATCTGAGTTCTCTAATATATTAGTATGCAATTAGTCACAATAATCCTTTATTATCTTTTTGATTTCTGAAACATCTGTAGTGAAGTCCCTCTTTTAATCCTTCATATTGTTTGCTTTAATTAAGTGAATACTACAATTTATAAGCCAAACTAATATACTTTTGAGAATGAAAGGGGATGCTGTTTCTTACACCATGGTGTAACCTTGCAGTGTCATGGCAAGCTGTGACATATGGCCTTCATGTGAATATCTAGTTTGCTTTATATCCTTGTGATTCATCAGTGACATTTTTAAAAATGTAGCCATTCTTGCAGTTGTGTCACATAAAATATGTTTTAATAAAAAGAAAATTAAATATATCTTTTAAAATTAAGCAATCAATACAATTAATAAAAAGTCACATTTTATAGACCTCCAGGGCTCATACTAAATACTTAATGAGATTACATGAAACTATATGAGATCTTGAAGTGAAATCTATTTGTACTACAAATGAATATCTCGTATTCATTGAGGATTTAATATGTGTAGATCTCGTGAAATCCTTATGAAAGTCTATGTGCCCAATAACAGCCCCACTTGGTAGATAGGAAATTTGTGATTTACTTTATTCAAAAATCACAAATAGCTGAGAAGTGGTGAAACCATGAAAGAAGTAAGGTCTGAATTTGCCCATCTCTTAGTTACCATTTAGCATACTGAGAATTTCCCATAAGTAAATAATTATTCTCTACTCAAAAAACTTTTCAAAATATAATTATTAACTCTGAACTTTATTTTTTAATAAAAATACTGGCTTTAGTTATCTTATGAGGAATAACTGAATAGCTATTCATTGGAAATTTTAAGTATCTATTTCATACTAATATAACCAAGTGCCTAGAAATTGTTTCATTAATTCCTGAGAATTTTGAATCACTTTCTCAAGCTAAACCTCAGAATGAACTACATTCTGAGTTCAGCAAACTGATAATTACAGGACTGTTAAGATTGCTAGCCTGAGTATATATCCAAAGGAATGAAAATCATTCTGTCATAAAGACACATGCATGGATATGTTCATTGCAGCACTATTCACAATAACAAACACATAGAATCAACCTAAATACCCATTAATGGTAAATTGGATGAAGAAAATGTGGTGCATATACACAATGAAATATTATGCAGCCATGTAAAAGAACAAGATCATGTCCTTTGTGGGAACACGGATGAAGGTGGAAACCATTATTCTTAGCAAACTAATGAGGGAAGAGAAAACCAAATACCTCATTTCTCACCTTTATAAATGAGAGCACTCCATTTTATAAATGGAAACAAAGAGGAGAACAACAGATACTGAGGTCCACTTGTGGGTGGAAGTTGGGAGAAGGGAGAGGTTCAGAAAAAATAACTATTGGGCACTAGACTTAGTACCAGAGTGATGAAATAATCTGTACAGCCAACCCTGTGAATTGAGTGTACCTATATAACAAGCCTACACAGGTACCGCTGAACCTAAAATAAAAGTTAAAAAAAGAAAAAGAAAAGAAAAGCTAGATGCCATAATTCTAGGCAAATTAATACAGGAACAAAAAACCAAACACTGCATATTCTCACTTATAACTGGAAGCTAAACACTGAGCACACAAGGACATAAACATGGGAATAATAGACCCTGTGGATTATTAGTGAGTCGGGGGTGGGTTCAAAAAGTACCTATAGTACTATGCTCACTACTCGGGTGACAGGATCTGTACTCCAAACCTCAGCATCACACAATATCCCTATGTAACAAATTTGCACGTGTACTCCCTGTATCTAAAATAAAAGCTAAAGAGAGAAAAAAAGATTACTAGAAACACAATGTTTAAGAAGAGTCACAGTTTCTTCTTTCAAAAAGTTTTAATTCTAGTGTGAAAGCAGAAAATAAGTAAACAAACTTAAGGTAGTAATTAGTTCCAGGAATAAAAATGAGGTAGAATGAAGGCATGATGAGTGACCAACATGGATATGATAATTGACTGGACTCAACTGAAGCAATAGAGAAACTCCTGTAAAATTTTGCAGGCAGCATCCCAGGCCAGGGGATAAGAATGGGCAAAGCTCTCTCCACCATGTGGAAAACAGACCAGTAAGGCAACCAAAAGGACAACAAGGAAATGGAGTGGTAGATATAAATTTAGAAAGGTAGGATATTGGATTCCACTGGAAATGAAATATTAAATGTTTTCTATCTTGTTACTGTGAACAATGCGCAATATATTTCCCACTATTTACAACCACACATTTTCCTCAAGATTTATGACACCCTTGATATCTCTGCTACTCTGGAAATTGTCAGTAATGGGGTAGAATAAGGGACAAAGTGAAGATGTGTATTTGCAAAACACATGTGGTATTAAAAGACTATGAAATATCCTCCTGGATATAGACCTTAAAGGAAATTAAAAGCTGCAGGATAAAAGAGGCACCACTGCCCCCACCCCAAACTAAGGGTCTGTCATGACGAGGTGGTGTGTCAGCTTCTCCAGGATAAACTACTCTAACAAGAATTTCCTTTCTAGAATGTATCAATATTGGGTCAGGGGGATTCAAAAGATATTCTCTTATGAGAGTCTGAAGAAGGAAAGAAAGCAACAGTCATTGTATAGCACAAACATTTATGCACATACACACACACATGCGCACACACCTTTTTCCCAGTTTTTCAGTCAAACAGAAATGTAGGTACTGATGTGAAGCGACTTTGCCAATGTAACTAAAATTCCTATTCAGTGGATTTTAATTTAGATTATCTTGGGTTGTCCTGACTTAATCAGTTGCTAGTCCTTTTAAAAGAGGGCATAGGCCTTCCTTGAGAAAGTGGGCAACAAACTTTGGCCCTTGCTCTTGGGTTTCAATCCACTTGGTCTCTTTCCTTCCTGACTGTCTGCCTTGTGAATTTCAAACTTACTTAGCCAGTCCCCACAAGTGAATAAGCCAATTCATCAGAGTAATCCATGTATTTCCTATAGGTCCCTTTTCTCTGGGTGGACTTGAACAGACACGGGCATACTCATTTCAAGTGCTTTGTAGTGGAGACTCTAAAGAACACATGGAAATATTTTTGAGTCAGATTTAAACATTTGCCAGATCCAGAGAACCTGAGGACAGATTTAGACATACCAATACCTATCTTTTTAATATCCTTTTTATTTCCTCAGCTCAAACTTGATGAGCTCAGAAATTTTAACCATGGGAGCTAAGTGATGTGAAAACATGAAAACCAAGAGGAGAACCAGAGGTATTGAGGTCTACTTGAGGGTGGAAGTTGGAAGGAGGGAGAGAAATTTTGAATGGAAAGCTAGTGGAGCTTTTTTAATGTTTGTAGTTTGTTTCATTTTAAAGGGCAAAGACAAAATATGACCACATCCAAAAGCAAGATACATCATGTATTACTTAAGAATGGTTCTTGTGATTAATACACAGTGAATTAAAACAATATGACTTTAGTGTTTTGTAGTTCTCTAGATTATAATTACTACACAGCTCTTACTGAGCTAAAATTAAGGTATCAACAGAGCTGCATTCCCTTCAGGAGGCTGTAGAAGAGAATTCGTCTTCTGCCTCTAAAGGTTGCCATATTCCTTGACTCAGTCCCTCTGTCTTTATCTTCAAAGACACAATGGTGAATGCAATCTTTCTCATGTGACATCATTCTTTCTCTTCTGTCTCCCTTTTCCACGTTTAAGGTTGCTGGTGATTATATTGATCCACCTAGCTAATCCAGGATTCCATATTTTAATAGCATCTAATTAGCAATCTTAATTACATCTGTAATGGTAATTTCCCTTTGTCATGAAACATAACATAGTGCTGGTTTTATGGATTAGGAATTTGACAACTTAGAAGGTAGTGCTGGTATTTATTCTGAATGCACATCTGAGCATTCTGCCTATTTGGATCTGGAGCAACTATATATTTCCGCACTTCCTTTCATAGTTTGATATAATAGAACTTCACTGAGACAAATGTATTCCCATTGACAGGAAATCACTCCTGTAATTAAACTATAGAGGGAAAAACTTGAATGTGTCAACTAACTGGTAATTGGATCTATGTCCAAACATATACTTTTCTTTACATTGCTATACATCTTGCATAAATTGTCCTTTTCATCTGGCAATTCACGGTTATACATGAAAGACATTATCATTAAGGGTACAGTTTACTGTAAATATAATTTTTCAATAGATCTTAGTTGTATCCTATGAGTATTTCTTTACATGTGTTTTCCAATATATTGCTAAAAGGTAGCTTTTATTGTGAACAGAATAATAGGCAGTTGGTCTTACGTTCAAAGCCATTTCAAAAAAGCATTTGCTTAAAAATGTTAAAAATGGAGGTCATTATATAAAATTGACTCCAAATGACTTCTTAGTCAAAAAGAGATAATTAGGTGCTTCCCTGAAGAAAGTGGTATATTAGGAAATTAATCCCCATGGAATCAGAAGTCTTTCTGAATTTCAGTGATTTTGTAGTACTCATATTTGATTATGCAATATGGAAACCTCTAAATGTATCACCAAATCTGCAGACCCTACTGACAGCTGCTTGAACAGCCAAGCAAAGGAAGAGAAAAATAAAGAAGAATTACAGGCCAGGCATGCTGCCTCACTGCTGTAATCCCAGCATTTTGGGAGGCTGAGGCAAGCAGATCACCTGAGGTCAGGAGTTTGGAACAAGCCCGGCCAACATGGTGAAAGAGATGGGCGTCTCTATTAAAATACAAAAATTAGCCGGGCATGGTGGCAGGTGCCTGTAATCCCAGCTACTTAGGAGGCTGAGGCAGGAAAATAGCTTGAACCCAGGAACCCAGGAGGCGGAGGTTGCAGTGAGCTGAGATTGTGCCACTGCACTCCAGCCTGAGCAACAGAGCAAGACTTTGTCAAAAAAAAAAAAAAAAGAAGAAGAAGAAGAAGAATTACAACAACAATGAAACTCATTCTTGATTTAGCATCATAATTTCAAGGTATTTTTAAAAGCTTGAGAACTTTCTTGCACATTTCAGCAGTACTAGTCAAAAACTGTGTAATTAAAAAGGAAGTAAGTTGAAGTAGGACCAGGTAGAGATGAAGGAGATGTGAGGATGGGCAGTGCATTAGTACCACATGTGCAAAGTTAGTTCAGTAAAGAAAGGGATTAATTAGCTTAAAAGGTTTGAAACCATTTGGGCATAGTTTTAAAGACAAAAGAAAAATCATCCTGCAGGAATGCAGTTCATTATTGAGAGAAGATGAGCAATGAACAATGAATTCCATCAGTTTTATAGGCAACCCTCCTTCTCCTTCATACAGTACTATCCATTATTAATGAGCACTATTTCTGAGTGTGAAAGAACTGTTTGAAAAACATTAACATAGTCTATTGGATGTGATTGACATTGTCATTTCTTTTATTTTGCTGTTGGCAAGTGGCTTCCCTGTAGATGTACGTGCATCTGGACATTACTAATATTCTTCTTGTTATGCACTCTGGGCAGCTGTGATATGGAAATTTTCAGCATTGTATTTTATGGTTTATTTTTCAGCTTTTACATTGTGTTCTGTTGCAAGATGCAAAAGTCAAGCCTTTTTGTATGCAATGATCAATCAGAAAAAAATTATCTTTTTTCTAATCTGACTCTTCTCCAAAATGTAAAAGAAATTTATTCGAATTCTGGAGATATGCAATGACCGTCTGCTAGTGAAGCAGTTATTTAGATCCATGTCTATTCATGGTATTTCTTTTTTACCCTCCAGTTTTCAAAGTTGATTACATTTTTAATTGTCCTGCTCCAAACAAAAAAGAACTGTAGCTCCTGTCTACCTGCTGTTCAGTAACATCAAGCACAGACTAACCCGCCCACATAATACCTTTTAATCAACAAAATTAAAGGTAACAGAGTCAAGGATTAGAGGAGTAATGAATCCAAGAA
This sequence comes from Homo sapiens, assembly GCF_000001405.40. Classification (NCBI taxonomy): domain Eukaryota; kingdom Metazoa; phylum Chordata; class Mammalia; order Primates; family Hominidae; genus Homo; species Homo sapiens. The sequence continues at coordinate 94,158,820 of NC_000006.12, forward strand.
AAAAAGAAATTAAACACCACATCCTCTTGACTTTTAAATATGTATGTAACTAAGCTGCTTTTTTCCTCTCAGCTGCCCCGCTTCTCCCTCCTCACAGCCCATATGCACACCCACACAGAGATGTGTGCTCCTAAGTGTTACTGACTCACTTCACATCAGCATACCACAAGTCAATCTGTTTCTCTGTACATTAATAACCTATCAATAAAGTGAAGTAGGAACTAAAGGTGATAGTCATTAATAGATGGAGGTGCAACTTAACTGCTTCTATTCCCTTTGTTGGTATTTCACTGCCAGATTTGCCAAATTACTTGAGTACACTAACAATTCATCCTAACAGAGCTCCCCAAAGTGTGTGTTTGTCTCATGGGATGTCAATATATGTAATACAAAAAAAAAAAAAAAAGAGAGAGAGAGAAATTGTTCTGTGCTAAAAGTAACATGGCGGTGTTCTGTTTCAGTATTTTGGAGTGCTAGAGAGCCAGATGAACTCTCATAAGGCTGACATGAAACAGGGTTCCTAGGAAAGTGAGTATAATTATATGGTTTTCTTAAACTGATATTACTTTAGCATATTTTCACCTCATAAATTGTCTGGAGTTATTAGTGTTTTATGGAACACATTTTGGGAAATTCTGATTTAATTGCAGCTCCCTATTAAGCATATTATTATACTAATAGGAGTTATTCTAGGGAAAAAACGCTTTAACTTCCTAGTTTTTTTCATAAACCACATAGTATGGTGATTAAAAGTGGGCTTCGGAGTTCTACTTCCTGAGGTCAAATACTAGCTCCACTAATTACTAGTTGCATGACCTTAGGCAAGTCTCTACCATTTATTTGACTCAATTTTCTCTACAGCCAAATGAGGAAAAATAATAGTACCTTAGACACAAAATAATGTGAATAAAGTAGTAGCTATAATAATTGTTACTCACACTCCCAAAACCTATGCATATGAAGCACATCAGCCCTCTTATATCAGAAAGGCATGTTATGTTACCAATTTCTTTATCCAGTATTCTAGATATTGAAGAACTTTCTAGGAATGATTGTAAGTCCCAAAATTGATCACAAAACTTCATATACTCTGTTTTTTCAGTTATCCAGTGGTTTGACTTATGAATTACCACTCTAATGAAATAGTGCAGCAGGGCTGCATGCTACACAAGCAAGAATATTTTCAGGTTGGTCTCCAGGATGTGATAGTCTTCTTCCCCTACTGTTAGGAAGCCATGTGTTACTCTAATGTTATAAATTTCAAGCCTATCAGTAATTATATACAGAAGTCCCTTTAAAACCTACCCAAATCATATTATGGTGGAATTCATTCATTTTTTTTTTTACCCAACACATTTGCATTGCACACTTATTGCCCTAATGCTATGGTTTTAATGTGTCCTCTCCAAAATTCAGGTGTTAGCAATGTGATAGTGTTAAGATATGGAGACTTTAAGGGGTGACTAGGCCTATAAGGGGCTCCTTCCTCATAAATAGGAATAAAGCCCTTATAAAAGAGGCTTCATGTAGCATTAGGCTCCCTTACCCTTCCACCTTCTACTATGTTAGGATGCAGCAATAAAGCCCTCACCAGAATAAATGTTAGTGCCTTGATCTTAGATGTAGCCCCTAGAACTGTGAGAAATGTATCTGTCCTCTTTATACATCACCCAGTCTCAGTATTTTGTGACAGAACTACGAATGGACTAAGACATCTGTCATCCATCAGTCAGTTTTATAGCTAAAATTCAGAAAATCAGTATGTAAACACATAAATGACCAAGACAATTTTAGACAGCAATGGGTGATTTTTAAAAAAAAGATAATTAAAGGGAGTATCTAATAGGGAATTACAAAGGTAAGAAGAACTTTACCTTAGGAAGTCAGGTGAGGAAACTCTGTGAAAAGAAGTGTCACTTGAGCTGAAATATGGGTGAAAAGAAGGAGCCAAGCATGCAAAAAGTTATCGAGAATGAATGTACAAAAACAGGAATGTACCTGATGTCTGAGGAAAAAAGTGAAAGCCACCGAGACTAGATCATGTTAAGATAAGGCAAGACGTATGGAAAATGAGAGTAGAAAGAAATTATTGGATTACCACTTAAAGCAATCTGTCAGACCAAGACATTGGTCTGAAAGATTTTGGTGGGTCAGACCTCAAAAATGCAGGCCGAAAAAGCAAAAATAGACAAATGGGATTATACTGGGGTAAAAAGTTTTGCAGAGCGAAAGAAACAATCAACAGAGTAGAGAGACAACCTACACAATAGCAATAAATGTTTGCAAACTATTCATCAGAGATTAATAACCAAAATATATAAGGAACTCAAAGAACTTAACAGCAAAACAATAATAATAATAATCAGATTTAAAATGGGTAAAGGATTTGAGTAGACATTTCTGAAAAGTAGACATACAAACGGTAAACAGGTATATTTTAAAATGCTCAACATCATGAATCATTAGGGAAATGCAAATCAAAGTCAAAATGAAATATCATATTATCCCACTTAAAACAACTGATATGAAAATGACCAGAAAAAACAAAAATGATGGTAAGTATGCCAGAAAGGAGAATACTCGTACTGCTGATAGAAATGTAAATTAGCATAGCCACCATTGAAAATCCTATGAAACTTTCTCAAATAAATAAATAAATAAATCAACCTAGAAATAGAGCTACTATATGATTCAACAATCCCACTGCTGGGCATATATCCAGAGGATTGAAATCAGTATGTTGAAGAGATATCTGTACTCCTGTGATCATTGAATTTTTCCCAATAGCCAAGATATGGAACCAATTTAAGTGTCCAGCAATAGAGGAGTAGATAAAGAAAATATTGTATATATACACAATGGCATATTATTCAACAATGAAAAGGAAAGAGATTCTGTCACTTGCAGCAATATGAATGAAATCAGAAGAAATTATGTAAAGTGAAATAAGCCAGACACAGAAAGATAAATATTACCTATTCTCACTCAGAGAATGCGTTAGCCAAAAATGTTCATCTCAGGGAGTTAGAGATTAGTAATTACTAGAGACCAGGAGGGGCAGAAGATTAGGAGGAATAAAGATAGGTTGGTTGATGTACAAAAATACAGTCAGATTGAAGAAATAAGTTCTAGTGTTCAATCACATGGTAGGGTGACTAAATTAATAATAATTTATTGTATATTTCAAAGTAGCTAGAAGAAAGATCTGTAAGATTCTCAACACAAAGAAATGATAAATGTTTGAGGTGGTGAATATCTCAATTACCCCGATTTGATCACTACATATTTTATGTATCTGTTAAAATATCACATGTACCACAGAAGCATATATAATCATCATATGTCCACTAAAAATAACATAAATAAATAAAAACAATTTTCCCAGATAACAGATTGAAAGAAGGTGTCAGGGCAGATCCTGGAAACAGGGAAACCACTTTACCAGTTGTAGCAGTTATACAGGCCAGAGACAAAGGATGTTGGACTTGGATGAAAGCAAGGGAAAAATAAAGAGTTAACAGATTTAGCATATATTTTGAAAGTAAGATTGACAAGATTTGTGGAGGGACTGACTATGGGATGAAAATGGAAAAGAGGAACCAGGGATGATGCCCAAATTTTGGCCTGAGAGGCAGTTGAATTGCAATACAATACAATTTCCTGGACTTGGTGAGACTTGAGGAGTGGTAGGCATAAATTCTGCATTCTGTTTTTGTCACAATAATATTTGTTGGCTACTAGGAATCTAAATGGAGAAGTAAAGTTGGCAGACGGTCATACAAGCTGTAGCCCAGAAAACAGATATAAGATGAAATTAAGAAACTATCATAGAATATTGTATTAAGAACTTATTGTAGGCCAGGCACTGTCCTGATTACTGGAAATAAAATGGTGAAGAAAATACATATGTGATAGGCAGAATTCTAAAATGGCTACCAAGGTCCCTGCTCCCTGATGTGTAATATCCTCTTCTTGAGTATGGGTGGGACCTGTCTATATGATGAATATAGCTCCCATAATTAGGATATGCTATGGAGCAGTGGTCCCCAACCTTTTTGGCACCAGAGACTGGTTTCATGGAAGACAATTTTTCCATGGATTGGGGGTGGGGGATGGTTTGGGGATGAAACCGTTCCACTTCAAATCATCATAAGGAGCATGCAACCTAGATCCCTCACCTGCGCAGTTCACAATAGGGTTCATGCGCTCCTATGAGACTCTAAGGCCACTGCTGATCTGACAGGAAGCGAAGCTCAGGTGGTAGGTAATTTTCCCTCCACCACTGCTCACCTCCTGCTGCGTGGCTGATTCCGGGTCTATGGCCAGAGGTTGGGGAACCCTGCTATATAGCACAGTTTGCTTTAAGAACAGAAGTTATCTTGGGTAAGCCTGATCTAATTAGAGTAGCCTTTAAAAAGGTCTGGACCACTTCTGAAAATAAGTAACCTATGAGCTCAACATAAGAGAGATTGGAAATGTGAGAGGACCAAGTGTAGAAGGAACCACATCTCTGGGACCTGCCGGTATCAGCAAGAAAACAGAGACTTCATTCACTCAGCCACAAAGAAATAAATTTTGCCAATAACCTAATGGAGTCTGCAGATGAAGATGTGTCCAGCTGATACTTTGATTTCAACCTTGTTAAGAACCCAGCCATGCTGTACTGAACTCCTGACCCAAGGAAACTCTGAGATAATATATTTGTGTTTTATTAACCCACTACAGTTGTGGTAATTTCTTACACAGTAATAGAAAACTAATTCTATGTATTTCATCTGTTTTGTGGAGAATTCAGTTTGCTAAAAAAAAGGAAAAGGAAGTAGAGCAGATCACTACCATCACATTTTCATTTCAAAACAAGGCTGTGCATCATTTTGAAGACTGGAGTTGAATGGTATGCAGATTGAGGTCCTTTATGACAGAATAGATGGATGAACTTGGTGGTTGGCTACTGAGGTACAAGCAAGAGACCTCAGATTAGGATGGTGGTAGCAGATATTGTGTAGAAAGGATAGATGTTAGAGCCATTTTTAGGGAACATTGAAGAACTGGAATAATGGACATGAATGGAGAAGATAGGCATCCATATTGGACCAGCCCCTGTCCACAGTATTGAAGATATCCTTATATGTAAGTCACTTTGGGACATCAGATATCAGATATAACAGTAGAGAAATTGAGAAGGAGACCATTCAGTATATTTCCCACTTTTGTTTATGTAGTTGCATTATTTATGATGCAATCAAACCTCATATTTTCACCATTATTTTATATTTTTGTTCGATGTTTAATAGCCCATGTTAAGTCATCATAGATATAAGAGTAACAAAGCCCAGGCACTCCTGTCAGTAATTTAAATATACTGCTATATTACTGCCAGAATATAATGATGCTCAACCAGCTAAATGATCTGCTCATTTTATGACACAATTGATGTCAATTTTTGAAATCAAATTTCTCAATATCCATACCATAGATTTGAACGTATGTCTTGTTTAACACATTGAACTGCTAGATTATGTATTCCAGCAATTTAAAAAGATTACATAAATTATTTAAGATCTTGGTTGTTTTATATATAAGGTTATTTTTCTTGGGTTCTCAAATGTGAAAATAAAATCACTTATCTAAAAATTGTGACATAATCTTTTCTGTCATAGATTTATAAATGTTATTTATTGTCTTCTGACATTAATTGTAACAGAGAAAACTGTGGGCAAGAAAATTTTAGTTTCACTGCAGACCGTTTGCTATTTTGTCTCTTTTTTTACTAAATGGAGAAAAATTTTCTCACTGTTTATATTTATTTCTTTGTTTATAAATTGGTGTTGTTGCATTTACTACTTGTGTTGATTTTTCCCATGCTATGGTACTTATTTAATCTGTATATTTCAGGCTTATTCAGCTTTCATTTTTGTCTTTCTTGTTCTCATTATGATCATTATGTCAGCTGATTTTTATTCTTTCCTCTATTTCCTTTTTATTCTTGAAATATTGCTTTCAGGATTTTTCATCAAAATTATTGCCTTTAATGTTAATTTTGTTCTTCATTAACTTGGAAACACGTTTTAACTTATACTTTTTTAGTTTACTTAAATTTTTGCTTTTTTACACATTTACTTTTGTCTTCTTTCTATTTCTTTCCATACAAACTTATGTTTCAATTTCTCGTATGCGATTTTTCTATTATACATTGGACACCAAGGAATCTTTAAATGTTTTTTCTTATTTTGCAATAAATTGTTTATGGTATCTGTTTATTTTTTGATATAAAACCAATATTGCCTTCCAGTTGATCTATTTTATTTTTTAATTTGGCACTCATAAATAAGAAAATGATTGTACTAATGTTTTCATAGAAAAAGTGACATTGGTTAAAAAAATACTTTAAATAAACTCTTAGAGCTAGCTTACGATACTGACGATGCAAAAGATACATGCTGGGAATTGCTGCAAATTTAGAAAAAAACAATTCAATTTACCAAGGTGTAGGAAAGATTCTAATTCCATGTCATAATTTATAAGATGATGATGAAGATGAACTATATGAGAATAGTTTCTGTTCAGAAACTATAGGAGGAGAGAGTCAAGTTGGCAGACTAGAGGCAGCTAGTGTGCAACACTTCTACAGAGAGAAAACAAAGTGGCTGCTAAACAGCGCCTAGCGGCCCTGCAAGCCAATCATCTAATAAACCATGTGGAGATCCAGCAAGGCAGTGAGGGAACACAGAGAACAGAAAAGAGTGAAGCTAAGCAGAAGCCCATCTGGGATTAGTACACAGGCAGGAGAAGCGCCCCAAAATGGGGAAAGGGTGAATGAGTGAGTGAGAGCCACTGGGGGATCCACAGGGAGCTGTGCAAGCCTTGGAAGGAGAAAATTCCCTTCACCCGCTAGGCTGCTAGACTGATACAGAGCCATCTGCAGTTTTTGCAGAGGCAGCACTCAAGTCTATGGGGACCGCCAAAAGCACTGGACTTCAGAGAAACCCAGCACCAGCTGCCATAGCCCCAACTGAGAACACAATTGGAGTGTCCAAGAACAGTAAGATTGCTCCACTCCACCTCAGAAGACTAGGCTTGGTGCCAGCTTCCAGCGCAGTGGCCTTGTTTCTGCCTCAACTCTGCCAGGGGGAACAGCTCCAGGTTCCTCGGGAAGCACTTTGATGGCAGGATGGGCAACCCATCCATCACCACTGCTCATAGCCAGGTGGTCCATATCTCCTGTGGCTTGCAGCACAGTGGAAATGCTTCTGCCTAAACTCTGTGGGAGGGTGTAATCCCATGTTCCCACAAGAAGCACCCAGACAGTAGATTGGGTAAGCACCCCGCTGCTTCTAGCTGAGTGGTACCCACTGGCTGAGTTAGTGACCAAAGAAGGGAGAGTGCATAGTCTCAGAACATGGAGAGGTGTTAGGTGCCTGGTTTTGTGAGTGAGTGGAGGAGCAAGCAGGGTGTGCCTCCCTCCACAGGACCTGTCCGGCAGGTCCTATAGGAGGAGGGAGTCAAGATGACAGACTAGAGGCAGCTAGTGTGGTCTGCCAACCATGATCCCTGCCTGAGGGAGCCCTGTGGACAAGAACACCTAACAAAGGCAACACAACCATGGAACCAATGATTGGAGGAGGCTCTTCCAAAATGCAGGAGCCGGCCAGGTGAGGCAGTCATTTCTCTCCCACATCTCCTCAAACACAGAGCACTGCTGCCAACTGTGCCAAAGTACCAAAGAGACATATGGCTGAGTAAGAGTCTATCTGCCAGCCAGTACTTGTAAATGCCACATACTAGATTACAGCCCAAAATGCAACACCAAAATATTTTGCTAGTATACAGCACCTGTGAAAACTAAGGCAAAAATCCAGCCACAAATATAGATTTAGTACAAAGTTCTGGCCCTCTGAAAATATCCAGAAATAAAGCCAACTGACTAAACTTAACTCACATCACAGTTAAAGGAACATTAGCCCTCACACATAAGAAAGTTTCAATCCAAGAACTCGAATCTCAAAAAGCCAGTGTGTTCCCTTAACTGCAAAAGAACCCACTAGAACCCTAGAAATGGTTCTTGGTCAGACTGAGATGACTGAAATGATGGACATAGAATTCAGAATCTGGATGGCAAGAAAGCTCATCAGGATTAAGGAGAAAGTTGAAACCAAATCCAAGGAATGTAATAAATTTGTAAAAAATGATCTAGGAGCTAAAAGATGAAATAGCCATTTTACAAAATAACAAAACTAAGCTTCTAGAACTGAAGAATTTACGTCAAGAATTTCACAATACAGTTAGAAGCATGAACATTAGACTAGATCAAGCTGAAGAAAGAATTTCAGAGATTGAAGGCTGGTTTTTCAAATCAACTCAGTCAGACAAAAATAAAGAAAAAAGAATTCAGAAACCTGAACAAAACCTCTGAGAAATATGCGATTACATAAAGAGACCAAATATATGACTCACTGGCATTTCTGAGAGAGAAGAAGAGAGAGTAGGCAACTTGGAAAACACATTTGAGGACACCATTTATGAAAACTTTCTAATCTTGCTAGAGAGGAGGATGTACAAATTCATGAAACACAGAGAACCTCTGCAAGATACTACACAAGATAACCATACCCAAGGCACATAGTCATCAGATTCACCAGTGTAAACACAAACACAAAAAACTTATGGGTAGGTGGAAAAAAGGTCAGGCCACCTAAAAAGAGAACCTCATCAGGCTAGCAGCAGACCTCTCAACAGAAACCTTACAAACCATAAGAGATTGGGAGCCTATTTTCAGCATTCTTAAAGAAAATAAATTCCAACCAAGAATATCACACCCTGACAAACTAAACTTCATAAGCGAAGTAAAAATAAAATTCTCCAGCACTAAGGGTACTCGTTACCAGCAAACCACCCTTAAAATATGTCCGTAATGGAGTGTTAAACATGGAAACCAAAGATCAAAACCTGCTACCACAAAAACACACTCAAGCACATAGCCCACATACGATATTACACAATTACACAATCAAGTCTACAAAATAAGCAGCAAGAGCACGATGACAGAATCAAAATCTCATATGTCAATACTAATCCTGAATATAAATGGTCTACATGCCTCAATAAACCCTTTTCCCATGTAGATAAAAAAGTACAGCTCTTTGCCAGCATTCATTTAAACACACTCTTTGAAGTTGAAAATTTGACTGATTTTAAATGTGAAAATAAAATCTAAAAACTATTCTCTGAGTCATTTCTAGACAGAATTAACATCAGAATAATTAGAATTATCTATTTTGTAAAAATTGGATTCATCAAATGAATTTTTGGCCAACAAGTATTAGAGAATGATGTTAACATTATGCATAGGAGTGCCAAACTTTCTAGGATTTGATATTTTTAGCAATTGAGAATTACTATAGTTTGTAAATGAGAATATCACTACTAAAAACAGAATATTATATATAGAACAGTGTCTTTTGTTTCCAAAGTCAATAAACTAGAGTGATGCAAAAATAATATTAAAAGCAATATTTTGTGGCAAAGTCATTTTTGGGCAAACACTGCAGCCACAAGTGCCACTAGTGAGTATTCTCAGAGCAAACCCAAAAAGGATTAAAAGTCATAGAGTGGCAAACTGGATAAAAAAAGACAAAATCCAACTGTCTGTTGTCTTCAAGAGACATATCTCTGTATAATAATGCTCCAGGCTCAAAGTAAAGGGATAGAGAAAGACCTGCCAGGCAAACAGAAACCAGAAAAGAGCAGGAGTTGCTATTTTTTATCAGATATTACAGACTTTAAACCAATAACAATCAGGAAAGACAAATAAAGCATTACATAATGATAAGGGGTTTAATTCAACAAAAAGACTTAACTATCCTAAATACATATGTACCCGATATTGGAGCACCTGCATTTACAAAACAAGTTCTTCCTGACCTACAAAAAGACTTTGAGAGTCACACAATAATAGTGAGGGACTTCAACACCCCACTGACAGTGTTAGACAGATCATCAAGGCAGAAAACTAACAAAAATATTCTGTATTTAAATTCTACCCTTGACCAATTGAACTTAATAGACATCTATAGAAGGCTTCACTTAGAAACCGAAGAATATACATTATTCTCATCTACACATGGAATATATTCTAATATCAACCACATGCTTTATCTTGAAGCAAGTCTCAATAAATTTAAAATAATCAAAATTATATCAAGCATATTCTTAAACAGTAGTGCAATAAAAACAGAAACCAAAATCAAGAGATTTTTTCAAAACTACACAAAACAGGAAGACATTACCATCTTAAAATTATATGCACCTAACACTGGAGCTCCCAGATTTATAAAAACAGTTACTATTAGACCTAAGAAATGAGATAGATAGCAACACAATAATAGTGGGGGACTTCAATACCCCACTGATAGCACTAGACAGATCATCAAGACAGAAAGCCAACAAAGAAATAATGGACTTAAACTATACCCTAGAACAAATCGATTTAACATATATTTCCAGAACATGCTCCCCAACAAGTATAGAATACCCATTCTTCTCATCAGCACATGGAACATTACCAAAGATAGACCATATGATAGGCCACAAAACAAGTCTCAATAAATTTAAGAAAATCAAAATTATATCAAGTACTCTCTCAGATCACAGTGAAGTATAATTGGAAATCACTCCAAAAGGAACCCTCAAAACCATTCAAGTACATGGAAATTAAATAACCTGCTCCTGAATGATCATTGGGTCAACTATGAAATCAGAATGGAAATATGAAAATTATTTGAAATGAATGATAATACTGACACAACTAATCAAAACCTCTGGGATACAGCAAAGGCAGCGCTAAGAGGAAAGTTCACCGCATGTTCCTATTCGTAAGTGGGAGTTGAACAATGAGAATACATGGACACAGGGAGGGGAGAAATACACACGGGGGCCTGTTGAGTGTTGGCAGTGATGGGAGTGAACTTAGAGGATGGGTCAATAGGTGCAGCAAACCACCATGGCACACGTATACCTATGTAACAAACCTGCATGTTCTGCACATGTATCACGGAACTTAAAAAAAAAAAAAGTCCAAGACTGGATGAATTCACAGCTGAATTCTACCAGTCCTTCAAAGATGTATTGGTGCCAATCCTACTGAAAAAATTCTGAAAGAGAAAGACAATGTATTAGTCCATTTGAATACTGGTATAAAGAACTGCCTGAGACTGGGTAATTTATAAAGGAAAGAGGTTTAATTGAGTTACAGCTAAGCATGGCTGGGAAAAACTCAGAAAACACAATTATGGCAGAAGGCAGAGGGGATGCAAGGCACCTTCTTCACAAGGAAGCAGGAAGGAAACATGCTGAGGAAAGGGGGAAGAGCCCCTTATAAAACCATCAGATCTCATGAGAACTTTCTCACTATCACGAGAACAGCCTGGGGGAACCACCACCATTACTCAATTACCTCCACCTGGTCTCTCCCTTGACACGTGGGGATTATAGGGATTAAAATTTAAGATGAGATTTGGGTGGGGACACAAAGCCTAGCCATATCAGAGGGAATCCTCCTTAAATTATTCTATGAAGTAAGTATTAACCTAGTACCTAAACCTGGAAAAGACATTAAAAAAGATAACTTCAGATGAATATCACTGATTAACATAGATGCAAAAATCCTGAACAAAATACTAGCTAACTGAATCCAACAGCACATCAAAAAGATAATAATACATCACGATCATGTGAATTTCATCTTGGGGATACAGGGATGGTTTAACATATGCAAGTCAATAACTGTGATACAGTACATAAACAGAATTAAATCAAAAACCATATGATCATCTCAATAGACACAGAAAAAACAATGGATAAAATCCAGCTTCCCTTTATGATAAAAGCCCTCAACAAAATAGGCCTAGAAGGAACATACTTCAAAGTAATAAAAGTCATGTATGACAAACCCACAGCTAATATCACACTGAGTGGGGAAAAGTTGAAAGCATTCCCCTTGAGAACTGGAACAAGACAAGTGTGTCTACTTTTACTACTTACACTCAACATAATACTTGAAGTCCTAGCCAGATCAGACAAGAGAAAGAAATAAAGAACATCCAAATTGAAAACGAAGAATTCAAACTGCTGCTGTTTGTTCATGATGTAATTGTATACCTGGGAAACCCTAAAGACTCATCTAAAAAGCTTCTAGATCTAATAAACTAATTCAGAAAAGTCTCAGCATGCAAAATCAATGTACATAAATCAGTAGCACTTCAATACACTTACAACGACCACGTAGAGAATAAATTCAAGAACTCACTTCCTTTTACAACAGCTGCACAAAAAGGTGAAAGATCTCTACAGGAAAACTAAAAAACACTGCTGAAAAAATCTTAGATGACATAAACAAATGGAATCGCTTTCCATGCTTATGGATGGGAAGAAAATGAACATATGGCCCATATTAATCTATAGAGTCAATGCAATTCTCATTAAAATACTATCATCATTCTTCACAGAACTAGAAAAATAATCCTAAAATTCATTATGGAATCAAAAAAGAGCCCACATAGTCAAAGCAATACTAAGAAAAAGGAAAAATCTGAAGGCATCACATTACCCAACTTTGAACCATACTATAACGCTATAGTTACCAAAACAGCAAGATTCTGGTATAAAAATAGGGGCATAGACAAATAGAACAGAATAGAGAACCCAGAAAGTATTTACAGCCAACTGATCTTCAACAAAGCATACCAAAACATAAACTGGGGAAAGGGCACACTATTCAATAAATGGTGCTAGGAAAACTGGCAAACCACATGTATAAGAATGAAACTGGATTCCCATCTCTCACCGCATACAAAAATCAACTCAAAATGGATAAGACTTAAATTTAAATGTGAAACCATAAAAATTCTAGAAGATTACATCGGAAAAACTTCTGGACGTTGGTTTAGGCAAAAAATTCATGATTAAGACCCAAAAGCAAAAAATAAATAAATAAATAAATAGGACCTAATTAAACTAAAAAGCTTCAGCACGGCAAAAGTAATAATCAGCCAAGTAAACAGACAACACACAGAGTGGGAGAAGATATTTGCAAACTACTATGCATTCGACAAAAGACTAGTGTCTGGAATCTACAATAACTCAAACAAATCAGCAAGGAAAAAAAAAATCCCATCAAAAATGGGCAAAGGATATGAATAGATGTTTCTCAAAAGAAGATATACAAACAGCCAACAAACATATGAAAAAGTGCTCAACAGCACTAATCATTAGAGAGGGAAATGCAAATTAAAACCGCAATGAGAAAATCGTCTACTGCTGCAAGAATGACCATAATTAAAAAATCAAAAAACAAAAGATGTTGGTACGGATGTGGTGAAAGGGAACATTTTCAAACTACTAGTGTGAATGTAAATTAGTACAACCACTATGGAAAACAGTATGGCGATTTCTTTTTGAGTCTCTGTCGTCCAGGCTGGAGTGCAGTGGCACAATCTCTGCTCACTGCAACCTCCACCTCCCAGGTTCAAGCAATTTTCCTGACTCAGCCTCCAGAGTAGCTGGGATCACAGGTGCCCAACACCATGTCCGACTAATTTTTGTATTTTTTAGTAGAGACAGGGTTGCACCATGTTGGCCAGGCTGGTCTTGAACTCCTGACCTCAGGTGATCCACTCACCTCAGCCTCCCAAAATGCTGAGATTACAGGCGTGAGTCACTGTGCCCAGATGGAGATTTCTTAAAGAACTGAAAGTACAACTACCATTCGATCCAGTAATTCCACTACTGGGTATGTGTCCAAAGGAAATAATTCATTCTATCAATAAAACACATGGAGTCGTATGTTCATTGCAGCACTATTCACAATAACAAAGACATAGATTCAATCTAGATGCCCATCAACAGTCAATTGGATAAAGAAAATGCTGTATTATAAATATACCATGTAACACTACAGCTGAGAGGTGAAGCCAGATGGACTTCTGGGTTGGGTGGGGACTTGGAGAACTTTTCTGTCTTATAAGAGGATTGTAAAATGCACCAATCAGCACTCTGTAGCTAGGATTGTAAAATGCACCAATCAGCTCTCTGTGGCTAGCTAGAGGTTTGTAAAATGCGCCAGTGCTCTGTAAAAATGCACCAATCAGTGCTCTGTGGCTAGCTAGAGGTTTGTAAAATGGACCAATCAGCACTCTGTAAAATGGACCAATCAGTGCTCTGTAAAATGGACCAATCAGCGTTCTGTAAAATGGACTAATCAGCACTCTGTATAATGGACCAATCAGCAGGACATGGGTGGGGGATAAATAAGGGAATAAAAGCTGGCCCCCTCAGTCTGCAGGGGTAACCTGCTCAGTTCCCTTCACCCTGTGAAAGCTTTGTTCTTTCTCTCTTCACAATAAATCTTGCTGCTGCTCACTCTTTGGGTCTGTGCCATCTTTAAGAGCTGTAAAGCTCACCGCAAAGGTCCATGGCTCCCTTCTTGAAGTCAGCAAGATCAGGAACCCACCGGAAGGAACCAACTCTGGACACACAGCCATAAAAAGGAATAAAATCATGACTTTTACAGCAACATGAATGGAGCTGGAAGCCATTATTCTAAGCTAAGTAACATAAAAACAGAAAACCAAATACTGCATATTCTCACTCATAAATGAGAGCTAAACACAGCACATAGGAACATAAATATAGGAACAATAGACACTGAGGACCACTAGAAGGAGAGGAGTGGGTGCAGGCTGTAGAACCACCTGTTGGAAGCTATGCCTACTGCCTGGGTGATGGGATTGTTGGGACCCCAAACCTCAGCATAACAACATGTACCCATGTTTCAAACCTGCACATGTACCCTTTAATCTGTAATAAATGTTGAAATTATTTTCATAAAAATAAAATAATAATGCTTTTTACCAATAAATAGAGCACTTTAATTCTCAATGTCTCTGTTTTAATTACAGTATACTATGTAAATATTCATTTTTATAGTTCTTGAATTTCTTTATACATTTATAATTTACAGTGAAAATAATTTTTAATAACAAAAATTGCCAAAAATGTTTGGAGGTCACAGCAAAATTATTATTATTGATTGTTATGATTACTTTGAAGTTTCACCTTATATGGTCATTATTGCTATCCTGTATTTCCACACAAAGTGAAAGCTTCCTGTATTAGGTGTGTGTAATCATATTTATAAAAACATACATACTTTCATATATATTCACTTAGAACATAAATTCTTGAGAATGGGAAAAATATTGATGAGAAGCAGAGAACACTATTATTTTAAAATATAAAAAAATTCTTACTGAATTGGTGCTTGCCTACAATTTCTGTATTTTAAAAACATAAATAAAATATGCTATTTACACTTTTATTTGTATGTATTGGAGGAGACAGGATGTTGTTCTTCACATAACATATCATTGTATTTCTTTAGGCGTAAAAAACTAAAATCCAGGGTTGGGCGTGGTGGCTCACACCTGTAATCCCAGCACTTTGGGAGACCGAGTCGGGTGGATCGTGAGGTCAGGAGACCAAGACCATCTTGGCCAACATATTGAAACCCTGGCTCTACTAAAAATACAAAAATTAGCTGGGCGTGGTGATATGCGCCTGTAGTCCCAGGTACTCAGGAGGCTGAGGCAGGAGAATCGCTTGAACCCAGGGGATGGAGGTTGCAGTGAGACGAGATCATGCCACTGCAATCCAGCCTGGGCAACAGAGCGGGACTCTGTTTAAAAAAAAAAAAAAATCCAAAAATCACAACCAAGTGACCTGTATTTATGACCTAGGTCATAAAATACTATTGTAATTTCACACCTTAAATTTGTTAGAGGTAGAAGTACCACAGAATTCCCATCTTTCCTGAGGGTAAAAAGGATAAAAATGATTTTTTTTTTCTTTTCTCTTAACTGATTAAAAGGAAATAGCAACTAGCCTAATCAAGGCTTAATCTTTTCTTCCTATTAATAAGTGGATATGCAGTTCTACTTGCTGCATTCAATGAGGATATGTTTGAAAAAAGAAAATTGAACTTTCCAAGTAGCTCACCTTCTGTTCAGAGCTGCTCTCACCTTTTTTATTTTATTTATTTATTTTTTAAATTTATTTTTTGAGATGGAGTCTTGCTCTACTGCCCAGGCTGGAGTGCAGTGGCACTTTCTTGGCTCACTGCAACCTCAGCCTCCCTGGTTTAAGTGATTCTCCTGCCTCAGCCTCCCAAATAGCTGAGACTACAGGCACGCACCACCACGCCAGGCTAATTTTTGTATTTTTCGTAGAGACGGGGTTTCACCATGTTGGCCAGGCTGGTCTCGAACTCCTGACCTCAAGTGATCTGCCAGCCTAGGCCTCTCAAAGTGCTGGGATTACAGGTGTGAGCAACTGCGCCGGCCTGCTCTCACCCTTTAAACTCCATTCATTAGATTCCTATCTCCTCACCTTATAATATTGGGTGGGAGGGGTTTTTTAACTGGCAAAGAGATGGCAGTTTTGAAAGAAATGTTTATTATGTTGACTTATCGACACCATGTTAAAAGAGATGTGGAATAAATATGGGCATTAGCTAGCATCGTATCCCCCAAAAAGGGATGCAGTTATTTGCAATCACACAACTGAGGCTCATGGGATGGGAAGGTTTTCTCAGAGCCTTTATGTGAAAGTATAAAATAATACTCTTGTTTCTGGCACCAATAATTCAATATGATGTCTTCCTTCAGGAGCAGTTGTCATCTAGGAAATTTACCTAAATCATAGCAACAACAAAGTCTGTCATTTCTTTCATTATTCTATTCCTGGCCTGGCTAGATAAGAGCAGAAAGATAATTAAGTCAGTGATGAGTTGCAGGCACGATGCCATTTCAGCTATTAAGAAATATACTGAGGAGTACATATATAGACACACGGTGGCAGACCTGTGAGGGGCATCATTTTAGCTTTTTTTAATGCCCTGTCTGTCCCACTGATAAACATCCATCTTTCAGTACTGCAGCTGAGGTAATTAAATGATAAATAGATGGTAGGTAGATAGATAGATTTTATAGATTTGTTTTAAAACAAAAATATTGCTTAAACATAACGTGCTTTTTATAGTAATTTTTTTCTCAAAATAGTTCAGATGAACATGGTTATCTTTTAAGAATGAAAACATCATCATTGATGATAAAATGTTATATCACTATTATTAAAAACACTTTTTTTTTTTAAACTTTTAAGTTCAGGGGTACCGGTGCAGGTTTGTTATATAGGTAAGTTTTCCTCATGGGAGTTTGCTGTACAGATTATTTCATCACTTAGGTATCAAGCTTAGTACCCATTGGTTATTTTTCCTGATCCCCTTTCTCCTCCCACCCTCCACCCTCCAATAGGCGCCAATGTATGTTGTTCCCCTCTATGCATGGCTGTGTTCTCATTATTTAGCTCCCATTTATAAGTGAGAAAATGTGGAAAAACACATTTTATAATCGACCTTACTGATATCATAGAAATTATGACCATACACTGAATATTGCCAGTATTATAAGATATTAAACATGTGTGTATATTATATACAATATTATAAAAGTTAAACAGAAATGTAGCTAAATACCCCAAAAATGCAAATAAACTAGTGACCCACGTAAGATAAAAAATTCATATTAGGGTATTGCTATATATGTGAAAGTGTTTGCATAAATGGGCGTTATCTCCAAAGGTCCATAGTCCTGCCTTTCCCATCTTGATTAACATTATATGTAGAAAGGCTATAGTGTTCTAAAGTTTTTTTAAAAAGCAATAGATTAGGCCTTGCTTATTTTTTCTTTATGTTTTTCTAACTTTACACAAAACGAAAATAATTTTTATCATTCTATTTTTCATGAATTTTTTTGAAGTGTATACTTTTATCGTAAATGAGCTCAGCAATTTGTCTTTCCTTGTCTGTTTCTTCCTTCCATGTCTCCTGTGTGCCCGGGACTATATTATAAAATTACATATGTGAGTCATGACATAAAGATTATATTCATATATATGAACAAATTTTATGCATATAAATACACACTAATATTTTAACAACATTGGATTATACTGCTTATTACCATTTTTAAATTTATATTTAAGTTAATATAATGTTGTTCATGTTGTAAAATAATTTAAAATAATCTAATTCTTATAGATAAATCTATATCTGTATCTCTGTTTCTAAGTTATTAGGCCAAAATGATGATTCCTTTGATTAACGTCTTCTATACAGTCACTTAAACTTATTAGTATTAAATCATTAATAGTGTGGAAAATATCAACATTATATTAACTCTGGTAAATAAAACTGAGTAGATAGCATCATGAAAATTTCTGATTATTTTCTGCAAATAATTTCCTAGAAGGTTACTGTGTAAAAAAGCATAAACGTTTTAAACATAAAAATTTCTGGTTTTTAGTTCTAGTTAAGACAGAGTAATTCATATTTGACTATAAGAATAGACAAGATCCTGAATAAGCACCAGTATCTTGCTGCTTTTTGCCTGATTTCATTTTAGTTTGGTTGAAAACAGAAGCTTAAAAAAAATCAAGCAAAAACTGTCAGAACCAACTTTGTCAAAAGTCTGGAAAACAGTCAAAGGTTGTCAACAAGAAAACAAATGCTGAATCAAAGAAAAGGCAACTTAAAAACAGTAGGAAAGCTTTATGATGCTTTATTTGTTCCTGTGCCAACCCCTCCCCAGCACTGCAGCTATTCTGAATCTGGTAGAGTTTCCCAGCCTGGGCCCCTGGGCCCTGGTTTTGGAGAGGGGAGAGAAAGCTTCATGGATAAAGAATTGTTTGTCTCTTCTTATCTGTCTGGGGCGTAAGCTGATGCATGGTCGGTCATTGTTTTCCCTAACTAGGAACCTACTTGAGGAGAAAAAGCTGCAGGCATTCCTCAAAAACATTACAAGGTGACTGACTAACCCATAGCAGCTTCAGTAGGTCTTCAGGGCATATAAAAGACTAGAAGTCTGTGAGGAAAAGCAGAGGAGAGTTTCTTTTGGAACTTAGGGCATTAAAAAGTGCCAGCGTTTATTGGAGTGTTTAGAAAGCCACATTCATGCCCAGGACAGGAAGCTTACTCAGAGAAGAGCCGAGAAGACCCAGAATTTCACCTCTGAGTGATCTCTAAGAGCGGTCCAGGCAAAAAGTGAGGGTGAAGACAGAGTTGTGAATGGCCTGGCTAATTGGTGAAGGGAAGCCTCAGCACAGAGCCAATGTACAAAGAGTGGGAGATAAGTTTTGGGTTTTTTTCTTCTTTTTTTTTTTCTTTTCCTCTTCTCCCCATCTCATCTTAAATACTTGGCAACCATAAAGACCTGTGACTGAATACCATTTAAGGATGTTCTTCATCATATAGGCAAAGCTGCTGATGGATTAAAAATTAAACTGTCTTGAATAAGTACTAGTTTTGAAAAATACAGAGTTTAAAACAACAGCTTAATTTGACTAAACTTAGAAATAATCACTATGGAGGAAATTTTTTAAAGAGAATAAATTTTTTCATATGAGGAGAGAAAAACAGGATACAATGGATGCCACAGGTTTGAACACACTGCCTTTCTTATATCTACCCTCTTCACTTTCAGGGAAATTCTTATGTTTGCAAGGGGACTTCAGGGGCATCTGTTCTAGGGAGATATTAATGCTTTCAATTCATGATTGAGAGATTTGGAAATGAGAAAGAAAAATAAACATATGTCAGGGGAAAATGTGTTTTGTGAGTTGAAAGGGGTCATTAACAATGTAGTGTAAAGAATGACTGTAAAGCTCTCATAACTATATCCACATTGCTACCATATAAAATATGTCTAAAAATGTTCCTTCCTCTTAAATTAAAAGTTAACTGCATACAGAATATCCAGTGAAAATGAAATGCAAGACAAAGCACTGACTTCATAAGAAATTAGGTCAAACCAAAAAAAAATGGATGATTAAAATTTTCTGCTAATCATCTCTAGATATTATTAAACTATGCTGAATGTAAAACACCACATATATTTGAGTCTTCTGAGTTAAATGCAAAAGTATGGGGTCCAACTGAAAGCAACAGGAAAAAAGACACATGTTATTTAGTATATTAGATTTCCGTAGCAGGTGTATGCAATGAGGACAATGAAAAAAATCAGCCCTTAGTTGAGTCTATTAAGAGAAAGATAATTTTGTTAGAATTCACTTTCTGCAATATTGGAATTCACTTCGTGCAATAGTAGGAAATGTAAGACTCTCTCATTGCAGTAAAGGAAGCATTGATTCCTCTGTTCACTGGGTTTGTCATAATTAGAGGATGGATTAGTCACATATTCTGGCTCACTTAATAAAATTCACAATAATTCATTTCATTTTTGAACTACAGATAGCATGCTAATTTCAAATTGTTTTGAAGCTTTCTTTCTCTGTCAACTTAATAGTCAATTCCTTACCAAATAAGTATATAAATTGTCATTGAAAATTCATCAATAAATAAACTAGAGATAAATCTGAACCATCTGTTAACTGCTTGGCTATAGTAACCCCACTGGGACATTTACAAATACATAGGCACACAAACAGCTTCTACTTTCCCTATACTATTTCTTTGTCTTCTGGTCACCTTTCGTCCATTCAACTAAACATGGTCTTGCTGCTACTGGAAAAAGGCTTTGAGAAAATCTGTGAATTCCAAAATAAAAAGAAAGGACAAATTGTAAAATTATGGAGAGCTATAAAAGCAGAGTGCAGGGCAAGACCCTTATGCTGTGCTAGACTGTTTACAGGTAGCTCCTTCTCCCAAAATAGTATTTCTTTTTATTACATGGAAAATTACCTCTCATATTGCAGACCTCTCATGTATTTTACAAACAGAAAAAATTTTGAATTAAAAAGTCATTTTTGAATAATCAAATTGATCTCCTAAAAACTAGGGGTCAAGGAACAATCATTGCATATTTGCACACATTAGGTTGATGAAATTTCTAAATTCCTAATGCCTAAATAGCTCAATTGAAATTAACTTGACTTAAAATTTAAATAATTGCAATTAAACAAATTTTTAAAATCTAGAATAGAAATGAATTTATGAAATTTCTGAATTTATGAGTACTTTTTAACTTGATAGTAATTTTAGAAAAAGAAGTAAAATTTGATTGTATACTTCAAATGTAAAATAACCTGTATGCCAGTGCACATAATTAAATGCAAACAGCACACTGGAAAATAATAAAACAAATATGACAAAGTTTGATACCCTTACAATTAAAGACATCATTCAAACTTACTGAAAAGTTAAGCATTGCCACATAAAAGGACAAAGAATAACAGCTGCCTGAAAAGTAAAACAAAAGTACTGGTGAATATAGAAACTATTGCAGTATTAGAAGTAATTGCTGAAACACTGATTGAAAGATTATGAGATACCAATTTAACCATCAGATCAGTATTTATAGAATGAATAGTATTTACAGAAACTCTCACAAAGCTGGTGAGAGTTTTATACATGTCATTTTCATGGGGGGATTATGAGAATAGAAACGGCTATAAACATTGCGAAAGCAGTTCAATAATATGTTTCAAGATATTTTCCCCTCTGTGTCTTTTTACTCAGTGATTCTAATTCTTGCTGTCTGTGTTAAGAACATAACTAAAACATGAAGGATATGTCCATTATGATAAATAGTAAAACATTGAACGTAATTAAATATCTACCAATAAGGAAATATTGAATTATAACACATCCATAAATGAATTATAAAGTAATCATTAAAATTATGTTCATCAAGCATTGCTAGGAAGAATGAATGCTTAATCTATAATGTTAAGTGATCATAAGATATTAAAATAGATGCAATAAATACAGAAATAATGAAATGAAAACCTAAAATATTAACCAAGATAATTTCTTTTTTAAAAAAGTTACTGGTACATAGTAGGTGTATATATTTGTAGAGTGTATGAGATATTTTGACACAAACAAACAATGCATAATAACTACATCAGGGTAAATGGGATATCCACCATCTCAAGCATTTATCATATGTTTGTGTTACAAACATTCCATTATTTTTAAACATACAATTAATTATTGTTGACTGTGATCACCCTATTGTAATAGAATGTATATGCTTTTAAAAAGTTACCCTTCATACTTTTCAGTATTTTCCAAATTTCATTTTTCAGTATGTGTTAGTTTTATACCATGTATTAGCATTCTTTAACAGAATATTAAATAAATATTGTTTAATTTTGGTTAAAACAGTCTTGGTGCATGCATGAACTCATGGATTCAATTGACAAATATTGCAAATATTTACTATGGGCTTGGCACCCTCCACACCTTGAATTTGAATTGTGAACAAGATATATATAAGTCCTGCCTTTATAGAGCTTATATTCAAGTGTGGCCAGAAAATATACAGAGTTTTACTGGAGTAAAAAATGGAAAGTAAGAATGAATAAATAAGCAGATGAGAAAATGGAGATATGGACTTTAGTCACTTTTTAAAAGAGGAGAGCAGAGAATATCAGTGTTCGTTTTAAGACCTTAATGTATTTAAGTATTTTTTGTTGTTTTTATATCAGCAATAGTGGAAGTATTTTAATGGAGTGGGAGAACTGGACAATGTAGAAGAAAATATTCCAGAGTAGATTATAGAGGATGAAATTTAGAGTGCAAATCAAGGGGCTTAACTCTGATGCAAGATCAGAAATTTCTTTTATTGAAATAGTTAGAAGCACAGAAAATATAGGTATAAACAGTAAAGGATTTATAGAGGTAGTCTTGGGAAAATAAGAAAATTGGACCAATTACTTCTAACTTTTTCACTAAGGTATATGATTCAATCATATGAGCTGACCATGTCAAGTTTGGTGTTTGGGTTTAAAGAAAATTAATATGATGACCTTTGGAGAGAGTAAAGAAGTTGTGAGTTTAGTTGTCTGGAGAAGTAGAAAGTGAATTTATACCAGGAAATGTAATAACATTGCTGGAAACTTGATTTATGATGTAAAAGTACAGGTATATTCTTACTATCTAATTAGAAGACTCTAGTCAAAGGAAGCTTAGCTGC
This sequence comes from Homo sapiens, assembly GCF_000001405.40. Classification (NCBI taxonomy): domain Eukaryota; kingdom Metazoa; phylum Chordata; class Mammalia; order Primates; family Hominidae; genus Homo; species Homo sapiens. Next base: position 94,181,868 of record NC_000006.12, read on the forward strand.
TCTTGTTCAGATGCAGATAATTGTGTTCAAGATCACCAGGTTTCAGCCAATTAATGGAATGATTCATAAATAAGAGCATCACTTAATAAGCAAATGCTTACCAAATGTGCTTACCAAAGAAGCACATGAGGACAGGAGAAAGACAGTAAATGATATAGTTGATATGCTAGAGTTCTTTCTTCAAGATTTATACCCTTTCAACAATTTTTAAGATACTGTTGGTTGTTAAGGATATTTGAAAAAGATATGAGCAGAAGCTGTGGTAGGGCAAGACCAGGATAAAACCACTAGAGGTCTTCTGAAACTAGCGTCATTCTAAATGTCTGATCTTCCCCAATTCTCCCTTGACATAATTTCTCCCTAAGTTATGCATGCTAGAATTTTTCTCTACCCATGCAAGATTAGGGTAGAGTTTAGGGTAGTAAAATAGATGAGGTATTATATTCTTTCTCACAGAGTCCACAAAAGACAAAGAGAGGCATAAATCTACCTGATCACATTTGACACTGCAAGATAGCTGTCCAAATTCATGTGAAAATAAAGTGTAAAGAGTGGTAGAATAATTGAATCTGTCTCACAGCAGTAGAGAAGATTACATTAATTTTTATGCTTTTAAGTTTTCTTGATTTAAAAACCACATGTCATCTTATTAATGAAAAAACAAAACACAGTGGAAAGAAAATATCATATGAAATGTATTCTTGAATCTTGTCAAATAAGATTGGCACAAAGAATTAATCATTTTATCAGAGCAAAGGAAACCTAGTCATGGAATTAAATAAATAAAACACTTGTATTAAATTATTTGATAAATGCTCAGGGTTTTGTACTTATAATTTGGGTTAGTGGACCTTTAACAGACACTCCTATCTCTCATTCAACCCCTATCCCTCCCTAACTAATTTTATGAAACTCATTCACAAATCTCTCCCTTCTTTATCTGTGTCAGTTTTTCCTATGTTGCCCTAGTCCTGAAAGTAGAAGGAGGACTGGAGCCTTCAGCGTCTATCCAACTTGAAAACAAGTGAACTTAAAATGTACTGAACTACTCAGCTATCCCATGAAACACAGATTCAAAATCAAAATATCTGTACTAAAAAGAGAAGTAAAGAACATTTTTCAACCGATTAGTCATTTAGAAACATATTAACATGTGACCTGCACAGATTTTTTTTTCTTCTGAAAATGTACTGCTATTGATTACAACATTACTCACTGCAGTATGGCAACACCTGGCCATGTAAGGTCCTCACCACCTGGGCACTGTTTGAAATACTTTCCTTTGGTTTTATCTCATCCATCTATTTGTTCATTCAGTGTGTTAGAAACAAGTGTTGGTGATTCAAAGAATAGTAAGTATTCACTCACTGCAGAGTCTGCAGATTATAATATATTTGAATTGTTTCAATCCAGACTGGCAAAGAGAGTTAGGAACAGGAAATTCCAAGCACAGAAAATAACAAAAAACAAAGAAGTAATTAAATAAAAACAACTAGAAAAAAAGACGAGATAAAATAATCTGTTGTATGTGCACATCTAGTGTTTCCATAGAGCTGAGTTGTCAATGTAGGGGGAAAATAGGCCAGATTAAAAAAAAATGTGAAGATGTAAAAAGCTAATGAATGAAATTTAAATAGGAGCAATTTGGTCATATTTGTACTTTAGAGATGCAACTATGGAGGAACTGTAGAAGACAGATTGGAGTAGAAGCCTAGAGGTAGAGATTGTGTGGGTGGGTATTATAACAGTTTCATGAGATATTATGACCGTATGAAATAAAGCACTATTAGTGTGTGAAAAAGAGAAGGGGAAACATAAGACATCATTAGGATGGAGAATCAACGGGACTTGATAACAGCTGCATATGATCATGAAGATGAAGTGTCAAAAAAGTCCAAATATGTTGTATTAGTTCATTCTCAAATTGCTATAAAAAATAGCTGAAACTGGGTTATTTAAAAGAATAGGTTTAATTAGCTCATGATTGTGCAGGCTATACAGGAAGCACGGTAGCATTTTTTTCTGGGGAGGCCTCAAGAAGATTCCAATCATGGCAGAAGGCAAAGGGGAAGCAAGGTGTCTCACAAGGCAGCAACAGGGGCAAGAAAGAGAGCAACGGGGAAAGTGCTGCACAATTTTTTTTTTTTTTTTTTTGAGACAGAGTCTCACTCTGTTGCCCAGGCTGGAGTGCAGTGGCATGATCTTGGCTCACTGCAAGCTCCGCCTCCCAGGTTCATGCCATTATCCTGCCTCAACCTCCTGAGTAGCTGGAACTACAGGCACTGGCCACCACGCCTGGCTAATATTTTTGTATTTTTGGTAGAGATGGGGTTTCACAAACAGCGTATGTCACAAGAACTCACTCACCATCATGAGAACAGCTCCAAAGGGATAATGCTAAACCATTCGTGAGAAATCTACCCCCATGATCCAACCACCTCCCATCAGGTCCCACTTCCAACATTGGGGACTACAGTTTGACATTAGCTTTGGTGTGAACACAGATCCAAATTATATTATTCCACCCTTGGCTCCCCCAAATCTCATGTCCTTCTCACATTTCAAAATAAAATAATGCTTTCCCACTTATTCCCAAAGTCTTAACTCACTGTAGCATTAACTCAAAAGTCTGAAGTTCAAAGTCTCATTACAGACAAGGCAAGTCCCTTCCACCTACAAGCCTGTAAATTAAAAAAAAAATCAGGTTAGTTACTTCCAATATACAATTGGGATACTGGCAATGGGTAAGTACTATTATTCTGAAAGGCGAAAATAAACTGGCCAAAAGAAAGCAGCCACAGGCCCAGTGTAAATCCAAAACCCAGCAGGACAGTCATTAAATCCTAAAGCTCCAAAATAATCTCCTTTAACACCATGCCCCACATCATCCAGGGCATACTGATATGGCAGGTGGGTTCCCTAGGGCTTGGGCAGCTCCACCCCTGTGACTTTGGTGGGTTGGGCCACCATGGCTGCTCTCACAGGCTGGCATTGAGTGCCTGTGGCTTTCCCAGCTGTCAGCGCATCTACCATTCTGGGTCTGGAGGATGGTGGCCCTCTTCTCATAGTCCTACTAGGCAGTGCCCCAGTGGGTACTCTATATGGCGGCACCAACCCCACATGTCCACTCTGCACTGCCCTAATAGAATTTCTCCATGAGGGCAACACACCTGAAGCAGCCTTCTGAAATTTTGGCAGAGGCTCCCAAACCTCAGTTCTTATACTCTGTGCACTTGCAGGTTTAACACCACATGGAAGCTGCCAAGGCTTAAAGCTCACACCTTATAAAGCAGTGATGTGAGCTGTACCTGGGCCCCCTTTGACCCAGAGCTGGAGCTGGAGTGACTGGGATGAAAGGAGCAGTATCCTGGGGCTGTGCAGGGCTGCAGGGCTCTGGGCCTGGCTCATGAATCCATTCTTTCCTCCTAGGCCTCTGGGCCTGTGATGGGAGGGGCTGCCATGAAGTTCTCTGAAGTGCCTCTTAGGCCTTTTCCCCTATTGTCTTGGCTGTCATCACTTGGCTTCTTTTTACTTAGGAAAATTTCTGCATGCTTTTTGAATTCCTCCTTTGAAAGTGGGCTTTTCTTTTCTACAACATTGCCAGGCTGCAAATTTTCCAAACTTTTGTGCTCTGGCTCCGCTTTAAATATCATTTACAACTTTAGGTCATTTCTTTGCTCATGCATATGAGATAGGTTGTTAGAAGCAGTCAGGCAACATCTTGAAAGCTCTGCTACTTAGGTATTTCTTCTGCCAGATACCCTAAATTATCACTCTCAAGTTTAATATTCCACAGATCCCGAGGGCAGGGCACAATGCACCCCAGTTCTTTGCTAAGGCATTAAAAAAAATGTGACCTTCACTAAAGTTCCCAAAAAGTTCCTCATTTCCATCTGAGACCTCATTAGCCTGGCCTTCACTATTCATATTACTACCAGCATTTTGTTCATAATTACCTAATTGGTCTCTAAGAAGATCCAAACTTTTCCTGATCTTTCTCTTTTCTTTTGAGCCCTCAAGACTCTTCCAACCACTGCCCAGTACTCAGTTCCAAAGGTACTTCCACATTTTCAGGTCTCCTTATAGCAATGCCCCACTCCTTGGTTCCAATATTCTGCATTAGTCCATTCTCACATTACTATAAATAAATACCTGATATTGGGTAATTTATAAGAAAATAGGTTTAATTGACACATGGCTCTGCTGTCTGTACAGGGAGTGTAAATACTGAATACCTGAGACAGGTCTCAGTCAATTTAGGAAGTTTATTTTGCCAAAGTTAAGGATGTACACCCATGACATAGCCTCAGGAGCTCCTGAGGACATCTATCCAAGGTGCTCCAAACACAGTCTGGTTTTATACATTTTAGAAAGACATGAGACATCAATCAAAATATGTTAGTTGAACATTCATTTGGTCCAGAGAGGTGGGACAGCTCAAAGCAAAGGCAGAACAACTCAAATTTGGGAGGGGGGCTTCCAGGTCATAGATAGATGAAAGACAAATTGTTGCTTTTTTGAGTTTCTGATTAGTCTCTCCAAAGGGGGCAATTAGATATGCATTTATCTCAGTGAGCAGAGGGATGAGTTTGATTGGAATGGGAGGCAGGTTTGCCCTAAACAGTTCCCAGCCTGACTATTCCCTTTAGCTGAGTGATTTTGGAGTCCCCAGATTTATTTTCCTTTCACAGAAGCATGGCAGCATCTGCTTTTTAGGAGGTCTCAGGAAGATTCCAATCATGGCAGAAGGCAAGAGGGAGCAAGACATCTCACATGGTGGGACTAGGAGGAAGAGCACAAGTGAGGAGGGAGGTGCTACACCCTTTCAAAAACCAGATCTCCTGAGAACTTACTACCATGAGAACAGCACCAAAGGAATGGTGCTAAACCATTTATGAGAAATACACCCCCATGATCCAACCACCTCCCACCAGGCACCACCTACAACCTTGGGGACTACAGTTTGACATGAGATTTGGTGGGGACATAGATTCAAATTGTGTCACATATACTGGGCAATTGAGTGGGAAGTGATGCTATTTGCCAATACACACAAAAAATCATCAAATATTTTGCCTTGTTAGTTTTTTATAAAAATACTGGGACTATTGGGTGAGATAACATCTTAAGCCCTTATTATTTTGTACCTTACAAATTTGTTCCACAGATATTAAGACTAGAACACTGCACAGGGCCCAGAACAAGTGCCAACTTCAGGATTTTGCCTATGGCCAGCCCTGGGTACAAAAGAACTTTTGTGATTTCCCTAATAGGATTTTAATGGGTAAAACTCCCTAGCTTTTTTTTTTTTCTTAAAAAAAATTCCATTATCTCATGTAATAGCAATATACAAGTGTTAACAGCATGTATTAGGAGAAGAGCCTAAGGCTGTTTTTACACATGGAATACCAGGGGTGATTGCAGTATCATTTCTCTTACAACTTGGTCAGACATAGCTCCTCTATGCAGGGTTGGTTAGCAGGCTTGAAGGAAGCCACAGCTGACTGTATTTGAAGAAAATAGAAAAAAATCCTGTGACTATTTCTACCAGAGAGAATATTAATGGCAGTGTCAATAATTTTTAACCCAAAAACTGAAATACTTTAAAGCAATTCAGGTTAGAGATTGTCTGCAAAGCAAGTTGAAAGACCTATTATTTGCGTTTTCTAAATGGAATTGTCTTAACAATGTTAACAAGTTAAATGTATACAAGTAACAAGAGGAGTGCTTATTTATTATCACATAGATTTTCTACAGATATTTATCACCAAAAATATTGATGTACACCCAAATAATATATATAATTGTTGATGACACAAAAAGCAAAAAAAAAAAAAAAAAAAACAGAAAAAGAAAAAGAATCAACTGATGGTTCTACTGCTCAATTTTCAATGTGTTCTCTTTCAATAATGGCACATTTAACAAATTCAGTCCTTGCTTATTGAGTTTTCATATATAATGAATTACATTTAAATGTAATCCTACTAACCTTGTTCCTATTTGATTATGGGAATGATTGCATAATTACTAATGATAATTACCCCATACATGTATAAAATACATGTATAAAATACCATTACCCCATGCATGTATAAAATACCATACATACATGTATAAAATACCATACATGTATTAAATACCATTATTTAATAAATAATGTTAATAGTTTCATCTTTAGATACTGTAAGATAGAAATCCTTTTCAAACCACAGTGTGAAAGAGTCAAATCCCATTGGCTGACTCAGAGGACAAAGAAAAATTTATGCTCAATTATGATAAGGATTACAAACAAACTGAATTATAAAGTTATTTGATTCAAAATTCCATTTTACTTTGAAAATTTTCAAGCACCAATTATACTTAAATATTTATGTATTATAGCTGGAAATAACAATTTACATGAGCTTTTATCACTCTATAATAAATATATACTTAGATCTTACATTAAAAAGAAAAACATAGAAGAAAGCAAACCAAAAGTAACATTGACCAGATAGGAAAACATAAGCAGATATTAAATTGTAGAATTAATAAATATATTCAATATATAGGACTTAATATATTTATTGAATACAATAAATAAATGGTTACATTTCATTTTACTAAAACATTTATCAGTTGATATTCCTAATAGAACTCTACAAATTTTGGGCCAATTATTGCTCATGTAGTTACATAGTGCCAAACACCTAGAAATCCACACTAAATTCTAACTAGAAGTCTCACCTACTACTGTATACTTTTGAAGCTTCTAGACCAAACATATTTAAATTGTTTTCTATATTTCCTTTGATATTCAACCTTGATCAATTTTTATTTGAAGAAGTAAGTGTAAAATCCCCAGAGTCCCCTAAACAATATGGTTAGATATTCAAGCACTAATTCAAACAAAATAAATTCCCATTTACCAAAGAAAATGATGTGAACATCTTCCTTTTGTGTAAATACATTGATCATTTTAATTATAAATTATGAGAAAAGTGAAATGAATCATAGACTTTAGTATATAATGTGTGTATGGTGTGTGTGTATTCACGATTTAAAATGATGCAGGTAACTATCAACAAAATTATAATAAAGTTGACTTTAAAATACTGAATATACATTGGAAAATGCATTTTTTATCTTAATATACTCTTTAAAACACTGGGCCAGACTCAGCAGCTCATGCCTGCAATCCCAGCGCTTTAGGAGATCAAAGCTGTAGGATTGCTTGAGGCCAGGAGTTTGAAATAAGGCTGGGCAATGTGGGAAGATCTTATCTCTAATATATATTTTTTTAAATTGTCCAAGTGGTGCATGCCTGTAGTCCCAACTATTAGGGAGGCTGAGGTAGGAGAATCATTTAAGCCCAGGAGTTTGAGGTTATAATATATATATATATATATATATTATATTATATATGGCACCAATATTATATTATATAATGGCACCACTGCACTCTAGCCTGGATGACAGAGTGGGAACCTATCTCTTAAAAAAAAAAAAAAAAAGGTGTGTGTGTATCAGGGAGACCAAGGTATACTGCAGGGAAATAACTGCTGTAGTTTTAATTATAAGAGTGGGACCTAAATTAGTCAACTAATTGCCATGTGGTGGTTATAAGAGACGCCTGGAGCAGCAATCCACAGAAGTGATAATACATGTGAGGAAGAAGAATTCTCTTGGGGTTTTCAGCAATAGTCAATAGATGTGCCTGTGCAACAACATCAGGAAGAAGACGGAAGGAGAGGAGAAGGTAGGGGAAGGAGAGGGGAGGGGAGGAGAGGAAAAGACAAGGCAGGGGAGGGGAGGGGAGAGGAGAGGAGAGGAAAAATGGGTGAAAAAAAGCATGGACTCCCTGCATACAGGTAGGAAGGAGACTTAGTGGGTGAACCTCTGCTGGACAAGTATTAGAGAGGGGAGTGGCACTCGGAAGTCTGGGAGCTTGAGGCTACATGATGTGCATATATTTCAACATCTACACTTTACTACAGTCAAGGAAACTTCCCTTTATGAAGCAAAAATAAAATAACTGTGCTTATGAGATTGCATTCAGATATTCTAATTTTGAATTCAATTTTTTTTTCAAATTGGATTAAATAATGTGCAGGCATCATTTGCCATTATAATAAAAGAATGATCTATGGAACCATAGTATTCAGAAGAGTACACAAATGAGAGAGGAGAGAAGAGGTGTGGGTGGGTGGACAAGAACAGATGGACAAAAATATCTTTGAATCTTCTTTAACAATACCCACCCTGGTATTGAGAAGGGTATTTCCTTTGACCTATACATTTATCTAAGAGCGTGTAGACAGGATTCGTCAATGTCTGACATTTTTCTTCTTCACAGTGACACATATAAATGTTCTGTCTGTTATTGGATAATTTGAGGTAATGGATCATCCATGTTGATGATTTTGTGAAATTTGCTACATTCTTGAAAATGATTTTCACATTTCAAAATAAAGAAATTGAGGCAAATTATTGATGGGTTGAAATGCAACTTTTTAATGTTACTGCTATATTTCATATGGGAGCTAGTAATGATCCTTTTTCTTATGTAAGAAATAAGAAACTACGTAACAACCTTCACTACTGTCAAATCCCTAAGCACTCTGATGTTTGGTTGACACAAATCTGATCAGAATAACCTTGAAAGACTGACTTTTTTTATGTATGTGCTATAAAAGGAGAAATGTTACACTTATCTCAAGATGACCACAAATCTGCAAACATAGTGGGAAGCCAGATGGCCAAGTCCCTACACCTGGGATGCCATTGGTCTGTCTCAGCACGCTACAGCCTTCCAGCAGCTGCTCATCACACACACTGGAGGACACTGTTCACACACCTAAAATGCACGCTGCAAAGAGTAAGGGATGCTTTATAGCCATCTTACCCAGGCCATGCAAAGATAGATGTGGAAGTTGAGGCATTTACTCTCTCTCTCGCTTTTTCTAGTATATACCTATGTGATGGTCAATACTGAGTGTCAACTTGATAGGATTGAAGGATACAAAGTATTGATCCTGGGTGTGGCCCTGAGGGTGTTGCTAAAGGAGATTAACATTTGAATCAATGGGCTGGGAAAGGCAGACCCACCCTTAATCTGAGTGGACACAATCTAATCAGCTGTCAGCAAGGCTAAAATACAAGCAGGCAGAAAAATGTGAAAGAGAGACTGGTCTAGCCTCCCAGCCTACATCTTTCTCCTGTGCTGGATGCTTCCTGCCTTCAAACACCAGACTCAAAGTTCTTCACTTTTGGAACTTGGACTGGCTCTCCTTGCTCCTCAACCTGCAGACGGTCTGTTGTGGGACCTTGTGATCTTGTTAGATAACACTAAATAAACTCTGCTTTATAGGTGGATATAGAGAGATAGATAGATAGATAGATAGATAGAGAGATAGATAGAGAGATAGATAGATAGATGCATCTATTCCATTAGTTCTGTCCCTCTAGAGAACCCTGACTAATACAACCTGTAAGTATAGGATTTCATCTAATCTGTTATAATTTGAATAGTTGCACCTTTAATAATTTTACTTGTATATATTTTAGATTACAAGTTGAAATATGTAGTATTTCTGTACTACTTTTAGGGGTTTTTAATTTATTCTATGTTAGCAGAGAATTTTTAAATGTTACAAAACTTACCTTTTTAAAAATATCTCTTGTAGTAGCAACTTGGAAATATTTGCATGCTATTAGATAAACAAAAAATTTATATACTTAAAATATCAAATTGAACAGTGTATACCTCTCTTTATCTCCTCTATCCTGACACTTCAGTTAATAGTTAGCTATCTCTTATCAATTGATTACTAGAGAAAATGCAGGAACTATAAATAGTTACCAAGAAATTGATATCTAAGTAATTTGATTTGCAGGAATTTGATCTAATATTGTGGGAAAACGTCTTTTGAAATGTTCTGCCTTGATACATGTAACTCTTTGCCTTTATTTCATTAAAGAGTCCCTCCAAGTAAAAGATATTTTAAAAACATTGTTTGTGTTACCTAGGAAAGATAAAATACTAATCACATTGCTTGATTCATTCAAAATGTTCATACTACATTAAAAGAATAGAAATCCTGTGATGTGTTCTTAACTCCATTTGCAGTGAGGATGCAAATGTTAGTAAAATGCATGTGTCATCATGGTGCTCATAGGCTACTTGAAGTGTAGGGTATGTAGACACTGTATTACAAGCTGTTAAAGGCACATGGTACTGGCTGGGCACAGTGGCTCATGCTTGTAATCTTAGCAATTTTGGAGGCCAAGGCAGGCGGATCACGAGGTCAGGAGAATGAGACCATTCTGGCCAACATTGTGAAACCCCATCTCTACTAAAAATCAAAAATTAGCTGAGCGTGGTGGCACACGCCTGTAGTCCCAGCTACTCAGGAGGCTGAGGCAGGAGAATCACTTGAGCCCGGGAGGCAGAGATTGCAGTGAGCCGAAATCATGGCACTGCACTCCAGGCTGGGCAACAGAGCGAGACTCTGCCTCCCAGAAAAAAAAAAAAAAGACACATGGTACCAGGAGGTAATGGAGAGGGCTTTCTTACTTAAGAATGGAGTAGCTGACACAGTGCAGAAGTGTAGTAGGAGATGGTCCGAGAGCCAAGGAGAGGTAAGGATAAAGGGGGATTGCAAAAATTACCACTTTCTTTACCTTGTCATTATCTGTAAGAGGGAGAATCATTTCTAAATGAAATAAATACATAAATATTGACGTAATATTTAAATATGTTACATTAAATTTTCTGTTTTGACTCTCAGGTCAATGGAGTAAAATTGCTATATACAAAAATAGCTTGATATAGCCTAGGTTAAATTTTTAGTTGACCCTTGAGGAGTAACGTATTTTCAGGTATTTGATTAAAAAAAAAAAACAACTTTGAAGTAAATGCACTGTTGACACAAGAATTTTTGAGAATGCAGAGCAGTTAGTTTATATATATATATATATATTATTTTTGAGACAGGGTCTCACTCTGTCACCGAGGCTAGAGTGCAGTGGCTCAATCTCGGCTCACTGAAGCCTCTGCCTCCTTGGCTCAAGCTGTCCTCCCGTGTCAGCCTCCTGAGTACCTGGCACACCACCATGCCAGCTAAGTTTTTGTATTTTTTGTAAAGGCAGGGTTTCACCATGTTGCCAAGACTGGTTTCAAACTCCTTGACTCAAGCAGTTTGTCTCTCTTGGCCTCTGGAAGTGCTGAGATTACAGGTGGGAACTACTGCACCAGGCCTAGTTTATTTGTAGAGATAAGGGAGAAAGTTAGTGAAAACTGAATGTCAGCTATATTTAAGTTAACTTATCTTATATCCTATCAGCTCCATGAAGACATATTTCTTTCTCCATCAATTTACTCAAAGGAGCAAAAGGCTTTCTATACAACACTGAGGTTTTCTTCTATGGTTTTATAATGAAGTATGTTTCTGTGCAAAATTGAAGATACATATTGTTAGTAAAACTGTGCTTGTTAAAATGTAGTTGTAGGTATTTTTGTTAATTAAAGATGTAGCTACAGTAAGTAAGTTTTTCTGCAAATTTTTGTTCATTTACTGCCGACTCTTACCTTATTGTGCTTCTTATAATTACTCTAGTTGGTATATAAAGATGTCCATCCCTGGTCAGGCGTGGTGGCTCACGCCTGTAATCCCAGCACTTTGGGAGGCCGAGGCGGGTGGATCACGAGGTCGGGAGATCGAGACCATCCTGGCTAACACGGTGAAACCCCGTCTCTACTAAAAATACAACAAAATAGCCGGGTGTAGTGGTGGGCGCCTATAATCCTAGCTACTCGGGAGGCTGAGGCAGGAGAATGTTGCGAACCCAGGATGCGGAGCTTGCAGTGAGCCGAGATAGCGCCACTGCACTCCAGCCTGGGCGACAGAGCGAGACTCCGTCTCAAACAAACAAACAAACAAAAGATGGCCATCCACTTGTTAATTTAGGATAAAATCTAAAAGCATTCCTTCATGCAAAGTTATTTTCAAAAGTGAATCATGTGTTATTCTATTTTACTTAAATTTGTATTGAAAAAGAGAGCATATCTAATTATGTTTCACATCTATAATAGTCAATATTTAGTCATCCTTCCATTTAAAAATATATTTACTTTATATGCACTAAACTTCTCTTGCTATTCAAAATTCAAGTCAATTTTCTTTCACTTTTTTTTTTTCTCAAAGAAATAGATTTTGGTTAGCCACCTATTTAATAAAATAATTTTAGAAGTGCTTATAGAGTATAATTAAGCTTTTCCTCTTTTCAGGTTAAGTAGTATAATCAGCAGCATGAGTTCAGACCCTGAGCCGCAAGCAAAAGTTTTAGAGAGAACTCTTTTATTAACTATAAAATAATTACAGATTGAGGAAAATGGCAGCCAGGGGTCATGAGGGCAAATGGTGAAAGGAGTTTTTCTTTTCATTTTGTTAATGCAAGACTGATCTTTGAACTAAGGAAACTATTATGGATCAATAGAACACTAAATTATAAAATATTATTAAACTCTAATGACACTTTTTTTTTTAACTGAAGAAATTCTGCTCTGCTCTTTCAGGCATAGACCTTGCTGGTTCAGTGGCAGTGGCTAGATCATGAGTGAGCATCTCTTTTAGAGCAAGTCTACACAGAGGGAGTGGTTTGTATGTCAATAACTCTCCAGATTGTGTTGCAAACACCATCTTCAACTCAGCCATTTTTCTCTTGGTTTTGAAAAAACCAGAGAATAAGCAAGAGGAGGACAAAGAAAATCACTTAGTGACACTGTCCAACAATCCTGAGAGTGTTTCTGGGTAGGAGCAGCCTGCTTTTTTTTTTTTTTTTTTTTTCTTAGTTAACTATCTTCTTCAGTTAATTAAGTTGCTGGTTACTTCAAGACTCAACCTATCTTATCAGGTTCCTACCTCCTTCTCAATCTTCCTATATTGTCTGAAGTGCTCCATAACCTGATGCCTATAAAGGTGAACTGAATAGAACAACAAAGTCTTGCTGAAATTTTAAACATGAACAGTAACTCTTCTGTATTCAATGCACAACAATTCTAGAACAATATTTCTTGTACTATTGTGCCTTAAAAGCAAACAACAAAACAAAACAAAAACAAAAACAATAAAAAAAACACTTATCTTCCTAGAGAAATAGTCTTTGGCCATTGTATAGTACTTCTCCCATGTGATTCATATATTACCAAGACAACTTTACTTTTGTAACACCACAATTCATTGTCATATTTCTCACTCAAAAATTCCAAACACCATAGTGTTCATAGAAATGATGGTTTTTTTTCAGAATTTGTCATATACAAAAATGACAGAACGAAGTAGTCAAATGTCTGTCTGTTGTCCTCTTTGTTGCCCACTTCACTGCATTAATATGCTTGATGATTATGGACTGTAATTTTGAACTTCAGTGATCATATTCCATTGCAATAGCCTGTAATTTATTTTTTATTCACTTTTTGCCTTTGATATTCCTGTCTCACAATGACCACTGTCATTTAAAAAAATATATTACCATTGCATCTCTACTTAATAATTCCCCAAACTCTACCTCTTGTCTAAAAGCATCACATATTTTTTCTCTTATCTGTTTATAAAATCCAATATGATAGAACTGTGAAAAGGTCAATAATCTCTAAGTATGAACCTGATACTTTTTAATTCATTATATGCACTAACTACTTAATTAATTATTATTGAGCTCTTTCTATGCAGTAGATAATTATTTTGGCAAATATAAATACTTTTCTTCTGACCATTAATGCTTGTACTTTAGTATAATTAAAAAGAAATACATACTGAAGATAAAAGGTATAATAGACAAGAAATGGCAAGGCAGAGGAGGGAGCAACTCAGTTTGCTTCTGTGAGTCAGAGAAGCACTTTTGTTGAGTTCTAAAAGGAGTAAAATTAATCTCCAAGCAGAGAGAATATTTTGGGGAGGAGTGGGTGAGGACAAAGGTGAAAGTATTTGCAAAAGACTACACAATCTTTAGTGTGGAGATTTATTATGGTTATATTATAGCTTAGAGGCCAATGACTCTCTCTTCCTTGTGAAACATATCCTGAATGTTGAAATTGTCAGGTAACTGTACTCTAAATGAAGATGAGAGACAGAATTGAAGTGTGTTTGTACTGATGATCAGTGGATAAATAGATTTTTAAAAGGAAGAATTTTCAGTACCAGAAGGATATGATGAGAGGCTAGTTTACTCACACCAGGATTCTAGCTGAAACTCAGATAATAGTTTGCATACACAAAGGAACTGGTCTTTATCAGAATATTACATATATATGTATATATATATATAATATTTAAATTAACTGGTCCACCAACTTAGATTTAAATAACATTATTGAAAATTATATACATCAAACAATAAACTACATCATTATCAATAAACATTAGGTTATCCATATACTCATATAAGAAAAAAAGTATTTCTACACAATAGATTATTTGTTTATATTTGCAAGTTGAATAATATTTTTGTTATGAGTAAATGACCTTCTAAATGTCAATATCCTTACGCCTGTCATAGTTTCTGCCAATTAATCATGTGCTGATAAGGCAGCAGTATGGGTGCTGAGACATATCAGCCTTGTTTTTGAGATATCTCTGTTCTCTGCATTGTTGAGCCTCTTTTTTATAGCTTACCTTTTAGATTTCACTAGTTGCCCACATACTGTGAGCAGTTTATCCGCTGGTTGTGATGGAAATAAAAGCATAGCTAGTTTCAAAGGTTCCCTTGAATAATCATTCTATGCTTAAGTTTCTCTCAATTTTAGGGTGATAGAAATGTATGCTTTTCTTATTTCCCCCATGTAAGTTTCTTGTCTCTAATCCTTAATGTAAGGATGTGCCAAACATTTGTGTTTTAAAGGAATAAAAGCTGGCATTGAATAAGACGCAATGGACAACACTGCCATAAAATAAAGTATTTAAATTTAAAAATAAAGCCCATCTGGCAACTGCCAGTATCAACAAAAAGAAACCACAACAAGGAGAAGAGGAGACACTCCTCAAAAGAGGAAAAAAAATGCGGCAATTGAATTTGGGGGCTTGTGTTTTCATCCTCATTATATTTCTCTTTGGAGTGGGGTAGCTCTAGGCAAAGATTTAAATGTTGGATTGAGCAGTATTTTTTTCCTGTGGAATGTCTCCAGGGAATCTCTGAGTGTGTTCCAAATTCAAGCCATTGTAATCTCCTTGCACGATGCGACATATGGAGCGGCAGATTTGTGCAGGATGGTGTTGTGCAGATGTAGGATGGTGATGATGCTACACCGTGGAGCTGAAGATAGCATCTAGGGGTGTTCAAAACTATCAGTTTCACTCCTTGGTTTGAAAAAAGTAGAAATAAATGAAACTTGAGAAAATGATGATGCCTAGAGGAAAATAGCATAACATTGAAACACTTAATGGTCAAATGGAACCTGAAACCAAGTTAGGCAAAAAAGACCTGGATTGATAACAGAAATCATACTTGGTATGTGTCTGAAATGAGGTGTGGCATTTGAAAATGTGATTCTTTGCAATATCTTGACTCACTGATATCTTACTCAGATTGCATACCTAAGTGGTAGTGGTGGCAAAATGTTGATGAGTTAGGGGACAGAGAGGGAGAAAAAACAAAACAAAACAAAAAACTAAACATGAAAGAAGAATGGATTTTAAAAATCTTGTTAAAAACGAGGAGACATTTATTGACAAGTTCTGTAAGTGTAAGAGGAATTTATATGAATCTCTCTAATATTATGTTATTAAGGCTAATGAGAAGATTTTACATAAAAAATAGACATATATAGGCCATTAGGTCAACATGACACTAAGGAGACTGCATTAGAAGAGTCTCTGAAATTCTAAAGGGAAAGTTTAAAATTTGCCATTTAAGACAATTTTTAGAACTCTGTCTTACTCCTCAAGTTACTTCACCAAAATTCAAGTTGGCAGGAAAGAAAGAGTTGGCATTTGGACCACTCACAAGGCAAAAGACTAAAGATCTTTACTTTCCAACTCATTTATTCATGCATCCTACAAGTATTGTGTACAAACCATGGACCAGTTATCAATATAGTAATAATGCCTGTTTTAATACCCAAAAGATTAAGGTTAATATAAAGCAAACAGCTTTATTTTTCTTTTTCTTTTTTTTTTTTTAATTTTTTTTTTTTTATTATACTCTAAGTTTTAGGGTACATGTGCACATTGTGCAGGTTAGTTACATATGTATACATGTGCCATGCTGGTGCGCTGCACCCACTAACGTGTCATCTAGCATTAGGTATATCTCCCAATGCTATCCCTCCCCCCTCCCCCGACCCCACCACAGTCCCCAGAGTGTGATATTCCCCTTCCTGTGTCCATGTGATCTCACTGTTCAATTCCCACCTATGAGTGAGAATATGCGGTGTTTGGTTTTTTGTTCTTGCAATAGTTTACTGAGAATGATGGTTCCCAATTTCATCCATGTCCCTACAAAGGACATGAACTCATCATTTTTTATGGCTGCATAGTATTCCATGGTGTATATGTGCCACATTTTCTTAATCCAGTCTATCATTGTTGGACATTTGGGTTGGTTCCAAGTCTTTGCTATTGTGAATAGTGCCGCAATAAACATACGTGTGCATGTGTCTTTATAGCAGCATGATTTATAGTCATTTGGGTATATACCCAGTAATGGGATGGCTGGGTCAAATGGTATTTCTAGTTCTAGATCCCTGAGGAATCGCCACACTGACTTCCACAATGGTTGAACTAGTTTACAGTCCCACCAACAGTGTAAAAGTGTTCCTATTTCTCCACATCCTCTCCAGCACCTGTTGTTTCCTGACTTTTTAATGATTGCCATTCTAACTGGTGTGAGATGATATCTCATAGTGGTTTTGATTTGCATTTCTCTGATGGCCAGTGATGATGAGCATTTCTTCATGTGTTTTTTGGCTGCATAAATGTCTTCTTTTGAGAAGTGTCTGTTCATGTCCTTCGCCCACTTTTTGATGGGGTTGTTTGTTTTTTTCTTGTAAATTTGTTTGAGTTCATTGTAGATTCTGGATATTAGCCCTTTGTCAGATGAGTAGGTTGCGAAAATTTTCTCCCATGTTGTAGGTTGCCTGTTCACTCTGATGGTAGTTTCTTTTGCTGTGCAGAAGCTCTTTAGTTTAATTAGATCCCATTTGTCAATTTTGGCTTTTGTTGCCATTGCTTTTGGTGTTTTGGACATGAAGTCCTTGCCCACGCCTATGTCCTGAATGGTAATGCCTAGGTTTTCTTCTAGGGTTTTTATGGTTTTAGGTCTAACGTTTAAATCTTTAATCCATCTTGAATTGATTTTTGTATAAGGTGTAAGGAAGGGATCCAGTTTCAGCTTTCTACATATGGCTAGCCAGTTTTCCCAGCACCATTTATTAAATAGGGATTCCTTTCCCCATTGCTTGTTTTTCTCAGGTTTGTCAAAGATCAGATAGTTGTAGATATGCGGCATTATTTCTGAGGGCTCTGTTCTGTTCCATTGATCTATATCTCTGTTTTGGTACCAGTACCATGCTGTTTTGGTTACTGTAGCCTTGTAGTATAGTTTGAAGTCAGGTAGTGTGATGCCTCCAGCTTTGTTCTTTTGGCTTAGGATTGACTTGGCGATGCGGGCTCTTTTTTGGTTCCATATGAACTTTAAAGTAGTTTTTTCCAATTCTGTGAAGAAAGTCATTGGTAGCTTGATGGGGATGGCATTGAATCTGTAAATTACCTTGGGCAGTATGGCCATTTTCACGATATTGAGTCTTCCTACCCATGAGCATGGAATGTTCTTCCATTTGTTTGTGTCCTCTTTTATTTCCTTGAGCAGTGGTTTGTAGTTCTCCTTGAAGAGGTCCTTCACATCCCTTGTAAGTTGGATTCCTAGGTATTTTATTCTCTTTGAAGCAATTGTGAATGGGAGTTCACCCATGATTTGGCTCTCTGTTTGTCTGTTGTTGGTGTATAAGAATGCTTGTGATTTTTGTACATTGATTTTGTATCCTGAGACTTTGCTGAAGTTGCTTATCAGCTTAAGGAGATTTTCGGCTGAGACGATGGGGTTTTCTAGATAAACAATCATGTCGTCTGCAAACAGGGACAATTTGACTTCCTCTTTTCCTAATTGAATACCCTTTATTTCCTTCTCCTGCCTGATTGCCCTGGCCAGAACTTCCAACACTATGTTGAATAGGAGCGGTGAGAGAGGGCATCCCTGTCTTGTGCCAGTTTTCAAAGGGAATGCTTCCAGTTTTTGCCCATTCAGTATGATATTGGCTGTGGGTTTGTCATAGATAGCTCTTATTATTTTGAAATACGTCCCATCAATACCTAATTTATTGAGAGTTTTTAGCATGAAGGGTTGTTGAATTTTGTCAAAGGCTTTTTCTGCATCTATTGAGATAATCATGTGGTTTTTGTCTTTGGCTCTGTTTATATGCTGGATTACATTTATTGATTTGCGTATATTGAACCAGCCTTGCATCCCAGGGATGAAGCCCACTTGATCATGGTGGATAAGCTTTTTGATGTGCTGCTGGATTCGGTTTGCCAGTATTTTATTGAGGATTTTTGCATCAATGTTCATCAAGGATATTGGTCTAAAATTCTCTTTTTTGGTTGTGTCTCTGCCCGGCTTTGGTATCAGAATGATGCTGGCCTCATAAAATGAGTTAGGGAGGATTCCCTCTTTTTCTATTGATTGGAATAGTTTCAGAAGGAATGGTACCAGTTCCTCCTTGTACCTCTGGTAGAATTCGGCTGTGAATCCATCTGGTCCTGGACTCTTTTTGGTTGGTAAACTATTGATTATTGCCACAATTTCAGAGTCTGTTATTGGTCTATTCAGAGATTCAACTTCTTCCTGGTTTAGTCTTGGGAGAGTGTATGTGTCGAGGAATTTATCCATTTCTTCTAGATTTTCTAGTTTATTTGCGTAGAGGTGTTTGTAGTATTCTCTGATGGTAGTCTGTATTTCTGTGGGATCGGTGGTGATATCCCCTTTATCATTTTTTATTGTGTCTATTTGATTCTTCTCTCTTTTTTTCTTTATTAGTCTTGCTAGCGGTCTATCAATTTTGTTGATCCTTTCAAAAAACCAGCTCCTGGATTCATTGATTTTTTGAAGGGTTTTTTGTGTCTCTATTTCCTTCAGTTCTGCTCTAGATTTTAGTTATTTCTTGTCTTCTGCTAGCTTTTGAATGTGTTTGCTCTTGCTTTTCTAGTTCTTTTAATTGTGATGTTAGGGTGTCAATTTTGGATCTTTCCTGCTTTCTCTTGTAGGCATTTAGTGCTATAAATTTCCCTCTACACACTGCTTTGAATGCGTCCCAGAGATTCTGGTATGTGGTGTCTTTGTTCTCGTTGGTTTCAAAGAACATCTTTATTTCTGCCTTCATTTCGTTATGTACCCAGTAGTCATTCAGGAGCAGGTTGTTCAGTTTCCATGTAGTTGAGCGGCTTTGAGTGAGATTCTTAATCCTGAGTTCTAGTTTGATTGCACTGTGGTCTGAGAGATAGTTTGTTATAATTTCTGTTCTTTTACATTTGCTGAGGAGAGCTTTACTTCCAACTATGTGGTCAATTTTGGAATAGGTGTGGTGTGGTGCTGAAAAAAATGTATATTCTGTTGATTTGGGGTGGAGAGTTCTGTAGATGTCTATTAGGTCTGCTTGGTGCAGAGCTGAGTTCAATTCCTGGGTATCCTTGTTGACTTTCTGTCTCATTGATCTGTCTAATGTTGACAGTGGGGTGTTAAAGTCTCCCATTATTAATGTGTGGGAGTCTAAGTCTCTTTGTAGGTCACTCAGGACTTGCTTTATGAATCTGGGTGCTCCTGTATTGGGTGCATAAATATTTAGGATAGTTAGCTCCTCTTGTTGAATTGATCCCTTTACCATTATGTAATGGTCTTCTTTGTCTCTTTTGATCTTTGTTGGTTTAAAGTCTGTTTTATCAGAGACTAGGATTGCAACCCCTGCCTTTTTTTGTTTTCCATTGGCTTGGTAGATTTTCCTCCATCCTTTTATTTTGAGCCTATATGTGTCTCTGCACGTGATATGGGTTTCCTGAATACAGCACACTGATGGGTCTTGACTCTTTATCCAACTTGCCAGTCTGTGTCTTTTAATTGCAGAATTTAGTCCATTTATATTTAAAGTTAATATTGTTATGTGTGAATTTGATCCTGTCATTATGATGTTAGCTGGTGATTTTGCTCATTAGTTGATGCAGTTTCTTCCTAGTCTCGATGGTCTTTACATTTTGGCATGATTTTGCAGCGGCTGGTACCGGTTGTTCCTTTCCATGTTTAGCACTTCCTTCAGGAGCTCTTTTAGGGCAGGCCTGGTGGTGACAAAATCTCTCAGCATTTGCTTGTCTATAAAGTATTTTATTTCTCCTTCACTTATGAAGCTTAGTTTGGCTGGATATGAAATTCTGGGTTGAAAATTCTTTTCTTTAAGAATGTTGAATATTGGCCCCCACTCTCTTCTGGCTTGTAGGGTTTCTGCCGAGAGATCCGCTGTTAGTCTGATGGGCTTTCCTTTGAGGGTAACCCGACCTTTCTCTCTGGCTGCCCTTAACATTTTTTCCTTCATTTCAACTTTGGTGAATCTGACAATTATGTGTCTTGGAGTTGCTCTTCTCGAGGAGTATCTTTGTGGCGTTCTCTGTATTTCCTGAATCTGAACGCTGGCCTGCCTTGCTAGATTGGGGAAGTTCTCCTGGATAATATCCTGCAGAGTGTTTTCCAACTTGGTTCCATTCTCCCCATCACTTTCAGGTACACCAATCAGACGTAGATTTGGTCTTTTCACATAGTCCCATATTTCTTGGAGGCTTTGCTCATTTCTTTTTATTCTTTTTTCTCTAAACTTCCCTTCTCACTTCATTTCATTCATTTCATCTTCCATTGCTGATACCCTTTCTTCCAGTTGATTGCATCGGCTCCTGAGGCTTCTGCATTCTTCACGTAGTTCTCGAGCCTTGGTTTTCAGCTCCATCAGCTCCTTTAAGCACTTCTCTGTATTGGTTATTCTAGTTATACATTCTTCTAAATTTTTTTCAAAGTTTTCAACTTCTTTGCCTTTGGTTTGAATGTCCTCCCGTAGCTCAGAGTAATTTGATCGTCTGAAGCCTTCTTCTCTCAGCTCGTCAAAATCATTCTCCATCCAGCTTTGTTCTGTTGCTGGTGAGGAACTGCGTTCCTTTGGAGGAGGAGAGGCGCTCTGCGTTTTAGAGTTTCCAGTTTTTCTGTTCTGTTTTTTCCCCATCTTTGTGGTTTTATCTACTTTTGGTCTTTGATGATGGTGATGTACAGATGGGTTTTCGGTGTAGATGTCCTTTCTGGTTGTTAGTTTTCCTTCTAACAGACAGGACCCTCAGCTGCAGGTCTGTTGGAATACCCTGCCGTGTGAGGTGTCAGTGTGCTCCTGCTGGGGGGTGCCTCCCAGTTAGGCTGCTCGGGGGGTCAGGGGTCAGGGACCCACTTGAGGAGGCAGTCTGCCCGTTCTCAGATCTCCAGCTGCGTGCTGGGAGAACCACTGCTCTCTTCAAAGCTGTCAGACAGGGACACTTAAGTCTGCAGAGGTTACTGCTGTCTTTTTGTTTGTCTGTGCCCTGCCCCCAGAGGTGGAGCCTACAGAGGCAGGCAGGCCTCCTTGAGCTGTGGTGGGCTCCACCCAGTTCGAGCTTCCCGGCTGCTTTGTTTACCTAAGCAAGCCTGGGCAATGGCGGGCGCCCCTCCCCCAGCCTCGTTGCCGCCTTGCAGTTTGATCTCAGACTGCTGTGCTAGCAATCAGCGAGATTCCGTGGGCATAGGACCCTCTGAGCCAGGTGTGGGATACAGTCTCGTGGTGCGCCGTTTCTTAAGCCGGTCTGAAAAGCGCAATATTCGGGTGGGAGTGACCCGATTTTCCAGGTGCGTCCGTCACCCCTTTCTTTGACTCGGAAAGGGAACTCCCTGACCCCTTGCGCTTCCCAGGTGAGGCAATGCCTCGCCCTGCTTCGGCTCGCGCACGGTGCGCACACACACTGGCCTGCGCCCACTGTCTGGCACTCCCTAGTGAGATGAACCCGGTACCTCAGATGGAAATGCAGAAATCACCCGTCTTCTGCGTCGCTCACGCTGGGAGCTGTAGACCGGAGCTGTTCCTATTCGGCCATCTTGGCTCCACTCTCCTTTATTTTTCTTAAGCTTTAGGTTTAAACATTCAAAATAGTATTGTTTTTCCTATTGAGAATGTCAAATTATAAGCTATAAATTCAAGGGATAATTTTGTATTGTTAATGTCAGAGAAATGCTTTTTGATTTTAGTTTGTTTAGTCTCAGTATGAGTTACTTTTGGGATACTTTAATATAATAATTCTGGCACAGAATCTACTACAGATTTCAGTGTTCTCTATTTTCATTTCACTCAATGTATTAAACACAGATTAATTGAGGCTGAATTGCATGTAGTCTAAGATGCCAAATACTTGCATAGAAAGAATTCATATTGAGAATGAAAAGTAATTCTGCTAAGAAAAGAACTGTTAAAACAACGAGGAGTAATTACATATATTTTTTACTTTAAAATGCAGAAAAAAATATGTGCCAAAATTCTGTAACCATATTTTTTCAATTATAAAACCAATATAAACAAAAATACATGTCTGAATAGTATTGTGGCTCTTTACCCGTATGAAAGTGTTTAAACCATCAAGTGATAAAATTTAGGTGAAAAGACGTTATAAGTTAAAATTCTGTATAAATTAAGAATAGCTTTACTAGTAAATTTTAATATTGTACATATGTTGTCAGAAGTGATTAAGGTAATTACATACTCCAATTATTTTCCTTTTTTTGCAAATATATCCACTATGTTTTTTGAATGAATCTATTTTTATTATAATTATGTCATATGTAAATAGGCTATAATATTTAAATTTTCCTTTTAATCATTACTGCACATATATATTGAAATTTACTGCAATTGTATGCAATTCTCATTTTTAGGCATAGATAATAAAGACAAGAATAAGGTAAAATTTTGCCCTGAGTATACTTACATTTTAATGGGGAAAAGAACAGACATAAATGCATCTAATTTCAGGTATTGATAAATGTGTGAAACTAAGTGAAACAGTGTGAAGCATGAAGTATGATAATCGGAGGCAAAGAAAAGGTATCCAATTTCAGATAAGATGTTCCTGGGGAGGCTTGCTGAGAAAGTGAACTTTGAGCAGATATTGGAATGAAATATGACGGGAATTCAACAAATGAAGCTGAAAGAAATAGGAGATGGTGATGAAGGGTCAGAAAGGACTCAGATCATGTACACAATTTGGGATTTACTATACTTGCGATGGAAAGACATTGGCATCTTTTGAGCATGGGAATGGCAAGATATGATTTATATCTTGAAACTCTCATTTTGCAGCCTATTGTGGTTTGTTCAAGAAGAATTGACAGTGACTGGAAGTAGGATGATAGCAGCTGAAATGGGGAAAATATCCGGTTTTAGGATGCATATTGCTGGTAAAGTGAAGAGAACATGCAAGTACAAAGGAAAGAGTAGAATTGGGGTCACTCCCACCTTTAAAGGCTGAGCAATTTGGTGAGTGTTGGCATCATTTGATGAGAAGGAAAATGCTAGAAGACCAGCAGGTGGGAAAAATAAATAATTTGTTGTTAATCAGGGTATGTTATGTCCGAGATAATTATTAGCCTATTAAAATTACAGGTGCAAATGTGGGCAGGGCTAAAAATATAGACTTGGAACTCTGGCAGACACATCTTCTCTGCCTGCCATGATTTCAGCTGCAGCTGCTGTGGACAGCACACTGCAAGCTCAGCCACACCTGGATTTTTATAAAGTTTATACAGGAACTTCTCCAATGCCATAGAAAGTCATTGAGTCCAGCATGAAAATACAGCTGGGAAGTACAGGGTGTCTAGTGCCCCTGAGGGTAAACTTCAACCAATGGGGTGAGGATGTGGCTAATGAGTGAATGCCCTAGCTTCCTATCCCCTCAGGTAGGTAATTCTGAAAGCCTTCTGAGGATATTTCTCTGGAGGCCCATCACAACTGAGCTCTGCTACCTGTGTTGCTTAATTTTATGTGTCAGCTTGGCTAGGTCACAGAACTCAGATATTTGGACAAACACTGGCCTAAAGTTGCTGTGAAGGTATTTGTTAAACGAAATTAACATTTAGATTGTAGCTTTGAAGTAAAGCCATTTATACTCCAGAACGTGGTGGGTGCTATCTAATAAGTTGAATGTTTTCAGAGAAAAAAAGACAAAGGTTCCTGATGAAAGTGGAATTATACCTCCAGATTGCCTTGGAAGTTGAGCTGCAACATCAACTTTTCCCTGAAGCTCCAGCCTGCTAGCCTACCAGCACATGCTGCAGATTTTGGACTTGCCAGCCCCCACAATTATGTGAGCCCATTCCTTAAAAATAAATTCAGTTCAATCTCTCTCTCTCTCTCTCTCTCCATACATACATCCTATTGGTTCTGTTTCTTTGGAGAACTCTGACTGATACAGATTTTGGTACCAAAAGTGGTTCTTAGGCTGCTCATTCATCCTGACAATCAAAAGTGGTTCTTAAAGAACAAAATCTTAAAAACCCATTTTCTAAATTGGCTCTGGGGTTTCTGCAATTGGTTCCCTAGTCTAATTAGATTTAAAAGCATTAGTGTTGCATTTCCAGGAGTAAAAGGAACACTGATAATCCATGGCATGATATGATGATAATAGAGATACTCAGAATATCACCATTGGATTCTTTTAATCAAATACTTAAAAGAGGCAAGGTTCTGGGTGACCTATGTAATACCTTCAAACATCTCTGTCAAGCTAATCTTAGAGTTTTCATTTCACACGTGAACTGGGAATAATTACTTTTACCCCAAAAAGAGTTGTATTGAAGAAAAAATGAGCTAACCCTTTTGGAATATCTGGCACATGGTATGCACTTACTAAACTGTCATGTTATCAAGGTTGACACTACGGCTTTGTTATTGATTATAAATGGTTATTTATTGTTATCAATTAGGTAACATTTGTTGAATGTTTATTTATTAAATTAAATAAATTAAATATTTAAGTGTTCCAAGAACTATTCTTGTTATGGCAGTTTAGTAGTGAGATGTACCTGTAATATTCATCTACTCTGTTCTCTTAGAGCTTACCTTCTGTGTTGGAAGAAAGATTGAACAAAACTTAAAAGCACTGTATATATATTAAGGTAGAGCAATATCAAAGGTATTTCTGGTGAGAGAAAATAATAGACCTGTCCTAGTTGGAATGGAGGAAATCTATTAGGATGTGATGGATAGGAAAACAGTAGAGGAGTGGTTGAATATTCACTAAAGCCAGAAGAGTGAAATCCTGAGTTTATCAGAATGTTAGTCCTTGAGAGAGATTTAGGTAAGTGATTAACTTGTCACCCTTTAAGACTTTACAGGATGCCAAGGTTTTGTGACCATCTCTCAGGATCTTGAAATCTGGAAATATTTTGACTAAGTCTATTCAGTTCTCAGGATATAGACTCATGTTTCTTTGTTCCTTAAAATAGAAACTCAGTGTAGTACATTTTGAAAACAGCTATATATATATATATGTGTGTGTGTGTGTGTGTGTGTGTGTAATATAGCAATATATATATTATATATATATATATTTTATATATATATATATTATATATATATATATATTATATATATAATATATATATATATATATATATATATATATATTTAGATGGAATCTCAGTCTGTTGCCTAGGCTGGAGTGCAGTTGCGTGATCTCTGCTCACTGCAACCTCCTCCGCTTCCTGGGTTCAAGCGATGCTCCTGCCTCAGCCTCCCGAGTAGCTGGGATTACAGGCATGCACCACCACCCCTGGCTAACTTTTGCATTTTTAATAGAAACAAGGTTTCACCGTGTTGACCATGTTAGTCTCCAACTCTTGACCTCAGGTGATCCTCCCGCTTCAGCCTCCCAAAGTGCTGGGATTACAGTTGTGAGCCCCTGTGCCCAGCCAGCAGTGATTTTATTCACCTACAATTTGTCCTTCAAATTAAGGACATGCAACTATTATCCAAACCTCTTTATGAAAATTATATTTTCCTTTATTCATTTATGTAATAATTTTAAATGTTTCTAGCATTTAATACTAGGTTTGAATAATTATGAGTTAGCACTATTTCAATAATTTTATATATTGTATAGTTCACTATGCTTAAATATGACATTACATCAGTTCAGGTTAACACACAAAAAAATTCAATAATCTAATAGAAATGAACCAATAGCACCAAGTCTTTGCACGAGATTTTAGGTTTATTCGCTCAACCCCAATATTTTAATCTATTACTTTTATGACAAAATAAATAAAAAGAACCATCATATAATCATTTAAATTAAAGAAAGAGAAAGAAATCTAAAATTAAAACATTTATTTTAACCATACGGCATTCTAAATAAAATGACATTGAATGAATTGAAAACCCTCTCCAAAAACGTGAGGAAAAGAAAGAAAAATAAAAGTAGGAGTAAGTGTTGGGTAATGGGACAGATCACTTTATTGAACTTGAAGCAAAAGGGTAACTGATTACTGTATCAAATAATTTTAATCTTTGTCACAAACTGTAACATGAGGAACCAAAGCAATCTCCAGCATCAGCCGTCATATGCACTTGACTTTCCAATCACTACATTAGCATATTTTACATTTACTTGATAGAAAATTTTGCATTTCTTTTATCAAGGGACCTTTGCATTTTTTCAATAAGGCAGAAATTATTATGAAAATTGAATTTCACTACTCTCTTGTGAACTAGACTTTTTATTTGCATCAGAGGAAAATTTTTGATTACCAGGAAATATTGGGATCCTTATTTCTTCATTTCATATTTTGTCCTAGGAAGTGCATCAGCCTACTTTTTTTACTGCATTCTTATTTGAAATTTGTAACACCAAAGCAACAAATGTTCTCTTAGAGTTTAGTTTCTCTGTAATCCAGTGACTCTCCGTCACCTCAGGCATTCAGAGAATACAGAGCATGAGGCACCAGGAGCTGCATTGTGGAGCTTTTAAATACACTGTCAAATCTTCACATTTGAGTCCACGTGAGCAGCCCAGTTGTGGCCTTCTTAAGCAATAATGGGAAAAATTACTAGTATTGTTCCCAAATACTCAGCAATTTACTAAGCACTGCTTTCATTCATGTAAAATTGTCAAGTCTAGTGACTGACATTACTTTGCTACTAAAATTTTCATGTTATTACACATTCATTGACTATATGGATTAGAAAATAAAAAATAAATCAATAAAATTTTTAAATATAGACAGCCTATTTCAAAAAATAAAAATCAATTCTTTGGTGGAGAGTGGCAATGAAGCAGGCTTGTTTTCAACAGTAAGCTCGATATTAATATTAGAGCAATTGATTTTTTAAATAAATACACTGTCAAAAATTTAGAATAAGCAATAATTTTTTGTTATTTTGAAAATTCATAAAAAAATCACAGAAAATATTCATTTGTTCATAATGTAACTGAAGTAAATAATAAAGCACTAAAAAGGCTGCCAACCTACTTTTAGTAGGAATTACATTTGAAAATAAATATCAAATAGTTCTCTGAATGAACACATTTGTAACTGTTTACAGTATTTCTAAGAAACTCATGCCATTTAATTATAAGTTTCTATTTAAAAAAATGTTTATTAATGTGATAATGTGTTTCATAATTTAAAAAACACATAACCTTAAACATATTTCCATTTAAGAAGTGGAAAATTCATAAGTACATACACTATTATTTCTACAGAAAGATATACTTTTATTTTTTTAATTAATTAATTAATTATCTTTTTTTTTTTTTTTGAGGTGAAGTTTCACTCTGTCTCCCAGGCTGGAGTGCAGTGGCGCCATCTTGGCTCACTGCAACCTTTGCCTCTGGGGTTCAAGTGATTCTCCTGCCTCAGCCTCCCAAGTAGCTGGAATTATAGGTTCCTCCCACCACCACACCCGGCTAGCTTTTGTATTTTTAGTAGAGATGGGGTTTCACTATGTTGGCCAGGCTGGTCTCGAACTCCTGACCTCAGGTGTTCCACCCACCTCAGCTTCCCAAAGTGCTGAAATTACAGGCATAAGCCACCTTATCCGGCCAGAAAGATATATTTTTATAGGTGAGGGATATCACCATAATGCAAAAACTGCATTTTGCTTTCATACTAACAATGGTAAAAACTTGTTTATAACTTAAAATATTCATGGCAACAAGTGCTAAAGCATTAAGTAGAAAAATAATTTACTATCAAAAAAATCAATCCAGTTTACAAAATATTGAGAATATAGTTAAAATAAGCAGAATATTAGAATAGTTTAAAGAAACATTCCAGCCAGGTGCAGTAGCTCACACCTGTAATCCCAGCACTTTGGGAGAGTGAGGTGGCTGGATAGCTTCAGCCTAGAAGTTTAAAACCAACCTGAGCAACATGGTAAAACCTCGTCTCTCAAAAATAAATAAATAAATAAATAAATAAATAAATAAATAAATAATAACTGGGAGTGTGCCTGTAGTCCCAGTTACTTGGGAGGCTGAGGTGAGAGGACTGCTTGAGTCTGGACAGGTCGAGGCTACAGGGAGCCATGATCACACAACTGCACTCCAGCCTGGGAGACAGAGTGAGATCCTGTCTAAAAATAAAATAAAACAAAGAAAAAGAAACAGAAAAGAAAAAAAAGAAAAATTCTAATTATTTGTAGCTCATGTTCCAGTATTCTCTTTTCTTCAAGACTAACACATTTGAAAAGAGCTCAACATTAAAAATAAAAGTATCATAAAAAAAGGCTCAGAAATTACCCCTATGATTTAGGAAAGATGTTAGAAACATTTTACATAATAAAGTATTCAAAAAATATTAATAAAAATAACTCAATGCTCCTATCATTGATCTCAGCATTAACTGAGCCAGGATATATGTGTCTAATGCAAGTCAGTCAAATCACTACTTGTCATTACAAAATAGGTCAATTATTCAAAATTAGTAGTATATGAATTATGTTTTTATATAAATTCCCTCGAGTTGACATTTAGTCTCAATGATATGCAAACATACACACAAATACACATGCACACATGAACATACATGCACAAATTTATTAACTTAACCAAAGACAGTATATATGTGTATGGGCATGTGCTTGTGTCTTTGTGTATACATAAATATATTACATTTTCATTTTTTAATTAATTTTGGCACGTCAAAGAAGCTCATGACCAAGAAAGAGCCATAAATAAAATGAAGAAATTAGGGGTGATTTCCTCAAATCTCACTGAAGAGTGGCAGAATATGCCACTTTGGCATAAAGATTATTTTGAGCTAAAGGCACTTGAAAAACAGCAGGTATAAGAATGGCATTCTAATTACCCCTTTCGCTTGAAAAGAGGAGATACAAAATCCCACGTGAAAGATGCCTTACCTATGCCAAGGAAAAAAGAAATATTCTTCGAGGAGGAGTCTTAGCCAAGATAATTCCATAAAAACAGACTGTTAAAATAATTCCTATGCTCCTTTAGCCTCCTCTATAGGTTATACTTTAGTAAGTATAGTTACTTACTTTTCCACAGTTGCCTCTCTTTGTTTAAACTAATATAAAAGCATTTAGGTTTTACCACTTTTGGGGGGCATTTCCTTTTGAGAGCTCCATGTCATATAAAACTGTATTGAATACAGTTACTTGCGTGTTTTTCTCCTGTTAATCTACCTTGTGCCAAATTACTTCACAGGCCCAGTCAGAGATCCTAAGAGAGTTAGAAGTAAATTTTCACTTCCCCTAATCCATAATATATTGTTTTTGATGAAAATAGCAAGAGAAAGAGGATAGTAACACATGGAGATACTTTCATCTGCGTGTAAAACTCTCTACCCTTCTCTTGTAACTCCCTTAAGAAATGTAACTTTTGCACCACTTTCTAAAGCACAACTTTAATTGTAATGGTGTCTTTCAAGAGTGTATCTTTTGTTCCTAAAAAGATCTCTATACAAGTTAAACTTAACTCAATATTACACACACTTACAAACGTACACATATGAATACACATTTGTTGTGAGAAAGCTGAAAAATGTTATGCACGATATAATTTTCCCAACCTCCTGTTTGTCATCCTCCAAATCTAACTTCGAATAGACTTGGTTGAACAAATGCATGTTTTACTACATAGGGAGCTAAA
Source organism: Homo sapiens (assembly GCF_000001405.40). Lineage (NCBI taxonomy): Eukaryota > Metazoa > Chordata > Mammalia > Primates > Hominidae > Homo > Homo sapiens. The sequence continues at coordinate 94,212,113 of NC_000006.12, forward strand.
CACAGAAAAAGAAATTTATGGTATCCAGGTATGGTGGAAATTGGATGATTAATATTTTGAGGGTGTAAAGCTTATGCAATTAGGGAATATTTTCTTTACAAAAAGTAATTCAAAATTACTAATTCAAACCCACATACAAGGCCTTGAAAAGAGCCTGTATAATCAGTGGCTGTAAAGCTAGATACTCAGTAAATTCATGACCAAGCTACTTGGATGGTATCTTATACTCTACTCAGTATCTGATACGGTATTATCATTTGCCATATCCTTATGTTGACTCTCCATAGCTATTGTCTTCATGATGTATCACAATAATATTAATAATCAGAGATTATTCCTGACTTTCCTACTTCAGTGCCTCAATTGAGCACATGCACCCATCCCTCCACAATGAAGGAATCTGGAGGTGTTTATAGTGATACAGAGTAGCCACTCAATATTTGGAACTCTAGACAAAACCTAGGTTCATTAAGAGATTTGGCACATTTTTACTACTATAAGATACTTCTGAACTGTGACCCAAAGAATATTTTATAAATATAATTAAGTTAGAACAGTAGGGTTTTGTTTTGCTTTTTCAATCTCCAAGTATATGTCCTAGTCTGTTCTCAGTACTCTTTAAATTGCTCTTGATTTTCACCATGCTTTATATTTACTGTTCTTAGAAATTTTACTAAAAATATAATCTCTTAATGTTCATTCTCATTGATTTTTGAGGTCAAAAATGGAAATAATGATTTTCAGTATTTTTAAGGTTGTCAAATCTTCACACAGCCATTCACCAAATGATTGTAAGTTTGAAATACACTATCTGAAACAAATGCCTTCTACTATGTAAGAATAGGTCTATGGGATATATTTATTAAAGTTTGAATGCAGATTAAACTCTGCAAGGTTAAATGACAAGGTTAAGTGTCTAATTTTGCAGTCTTTTTATACCTGGTGAGTGCAAAGGCTTCCTAATGATAGGATTAAATATGGTTCCTAGCTACAAACAGTTGCTTGTCGTTCCCTATAGGTTAGCCTCTATATTCTGTACTTATCACAAACAGAGAGGAAATAACTTTCTGGGTCTTTTGTGAGTCTTTTTAAAATACACAGACTTTAGGGAAATCATATTTTCTTGAAGGAAATGAGGCATGACCAATCACACAAAACGTGAGAAAATCCCTTGATAGATGACCTTTGCCACATGTAGAAGAAACTGTTCAGTGGCTGAGGTTTCATGGATTTCATGCATGGAAATCAGATTTTCTGGCCACCAGTGCTGTTCAGTAAATAAATAATCCATCATTGTGTCAAACAGTTGAAACATGGAGATCCTGCCCTTGCTATCTGAATAGACATTTCGAGTTAGTAAGTTATGTAAACTGTTTGCATGTCAGCAGCTGTGTGAGCACTGTTCTACTTTTCACTATGTAAAAGAAAACCACCTCACTTTGGTCATGTTAACCTAATGGTGAGAGCATTCATTTGATTCTGCCTCCACTGATGAACTTTCTGGTGCATGAAGGAATTAAGATGAGAGTTCCCACATGGATTCTGTGGTATGTCAGGGCATTGTGCTAAATCATTAGTAGTCAGTTCCAATGATAATTTTAAATACACCTACATTTTCTTTCCTTAAAACCAATAATAGCAGCTTTCTTAAAATATGTTGTCATGATTTTCTCTAAATTCTGTCTTAATATTTACATTTTAGTACATTTTTGGTGTTACTAGAATAAATCTGATTAAAATGATAGTCCTTGACATCTAGTGATTATTTTAATCTTCATTTAGCAAGTCACATGTACTTGAGGTTGTATGTTCCATTTATTTTAAAAGATTTAACTAGCTTTCATCCTTATTATATTTTATTTCTATGTCATTTTATAATTTATCCATCATTATCAGCAAAATGTCAGACATGCACACACACATGCACACACAACTGACTTAGTTCAGCTCCGCTTCCCACTAATGGGTCCATTTTAGGTTTCCATTTGGGCTCTATTTCCCCTAAATAAGAAGGAATATTCAAGTATTTCAACTATGTTGCTGGCATTAAAAGCAAAAACATAGTTGAAACATAGTTATGTTGCTTTCCAGCTAACACCTACATACACTTTTGATATTTAAAATACTTTCTTGCTGAAATGTCAGGCTCCTCCTGCCACAACAAAGAGCTTCTCTTATCTCCTAGGTTTCACAAAGAGCACCTCACTTACAATAGACCTTTTTGCTCTTCCAGAATACAGTGGACACTATTTTGCTTTAGAGCACAAGAAATAATCATTTCATTTCATTCTGCCTAGCATTTAGAGAAAACCCTTCTGAAATTAGTCTGCAAAGTGGGTATAAAATATGTATAAAATTCTAAAAAAGGGAAAAAGGGGAAAAATTAGGAAAACATGTTTTCATTTCAAGTGATTTAGTCAACAGTTACGATGTTTTACCAAAAATGGTTATACTATAATTATGCCATAATTTATTTTGATTTTTAAAGAAATTTATCTTTAGAAATATTTTCAGATTTATCTTTTAAATGTTAGTCAAAATAACACCTTAACTTTATTTTGTTATGACAGATTGTTTTGTTTTTTATTAGATACCTACTGAAACCCTATAGTCCTTAGAGATTTTTGGTTTCAGAGCTGATTTACTAAAAAAAAAAAAGGACCAAGGGAGTATGAGATTATTTAATTTATTAAGTAAATTAGTAGAAAAACCAAAGTTGATTTTCAATAATTTATAAGCAAGGAAAAAGGAGAATGAAAAAGTCTATATCCATGTTCTTGTTTACATTTCAAAACAAATTAGTCATAAGATAATTGTTTCCAAATTTGTAAAGTAAAACAACAACCAAGGAAAAATCAAAATTTTCAAGAGTTTATAAGAAAATTGGCAGTTCAGGACAGATATTCATCTCTAACCTCAGTTTTGTTCAGCATTGAAAAGAAACATATGTTTGTGAAATCACCTTATTGGAATTATGATTTACTTTTATTTATCATCAATTTGTCACAGAAAGAGTTTATGTCCAGGAATCAGAAATAAATTGATAATACGCAAGGATTTGCCTCAATAAGCATCTATTACTACCAGGCTAATCCAGGCTGAATATTCCACTTTAGCACATTCCTCAATTTACTTCTCTAAATTAAAATAATATTGTTTATATTTATAGTAAACTACATCTTAGAGCTTTTAATGAATTTTTTTCTTTCATTTTTATTGAACAATTATTCCATGTTAAGTGTTCAAAAATGAAAAAAAATCTAAAAGGAAAAGAAAAATGTAACTACTGTTAACAACATCGTCAATGTGGCACATACGCTTTGATGTTTCAATGCTTATAATTAAACATTTATAAAAAGAGGAGAAGAAAGCAGTACCAGTTTATGCATACTATTCTATCGTATTTTTTTCCACTTAATAATATATTGTGAACATCTTACCATGTCTGCAGATATAAATGTATGATGTAACTATATGAAACATTCAGAATGCCATTAAGGAAATAGAAGTCTCACTAGGATACTGGAATAGAAAAAGATATATTATAGGGATTTATAAGCTTAAGGGCTGCTCAAAGCACTAGGAGAGTGAAGACTAGAAGGCCACTTTCAGGCAATCTGGAAGTGCAGCAATTGCAAAGAAGCTTCCATCAGTGATTACAGCCATATGGCAGCATCAGGGATGGAGATTCTGAAGGGAATGCCTAGAGCCACCTGCAAGCTGCCAAAGATCTTTGCTGCCTCAGTACGTAAGTGGGTGATCCTCAGGTGGAGCATTCAGTGCTACAGGATGCTTGTGTATATCTGCCTCTAGAAAATGAGGGCTCTCCTCTTTTGCCTTCAGAATCCAACCTGGAACTGTAGTGAAAAGAGATTATGAGATTTAAACTTTTGGCTTCCTCCCAGAGATGATGGAAGGGGCAGAGATGAAGCTGAATTGACAAAGGACATAAAAATGGTCAATGCCTTTTTAATAGCTTCATACTATATTGTACTGTAAATTTTTAAAACTTCATATTTTTTCTTTCTTTTTTTCTTGCTTCCTCAACATCCCCACAGACAAGCTGTGAGCACCCTGCCCAAGTGATCAAGTTCACCAGTGAATAGAGTGGTCTGTGACACAAGTTCCTCTTCTTGCCCTCCCCTGACAGTGACCTAGTAACATCCAAAAGGACCAGTGAAATCCCTTCAAGCCTTTTCTGATGTACTCTATTCTGACGTATAAGAAAAACCCTCGCCTGACGGTTTCTTGGGGCTTTTCACTGGCTTGGTTGAACCTGCTCCTGTGGTGCTCCTCCTCTGGGGCCCCTCTCAGCATACAGTACTCTTTCTAGAACCTGTGAGCATAATAAACATTGTTTCCCTGAGTCTCTCCCGTGTCCCGTCTTGGGGACACATCTGATTGACCACTACCGAAAAAAAAAAAAAAAAACATACACACACACATAAAACATATATCATAATCCATATGAATTGATAAAGCTTTCTTAATGCCATTTTTGGAAATATTTCTAATTTTTGCAAATTTTAAGTACTGAAATGAGTATTCATTAAGTGTTATATATAAACGGCAAATATATATATGTATTTATATGCCTGCTAAGGCTATTTCTTAATGTTCAGAAAAGTAATATAAAGTGCTTGATTTTGGAAACTAAAAATCGAAAATTTAAAAAGAAATGCATAATGAACTTAATTTTCAATTTGGGTTTGGGGTCAACAATGTGAATCTCCTAATAATTGTCAAAATTCAATAATTCATACATTATTTAGTATGCCCATTTCTCCAAAACAGCCTTAAAATTAATCTATTTTGTGGGAAACATTGTGAAAGTTACCCAAAGAGAAGAAAATGTGTTTATGATGAAGTTGCTGTCATCCAGAAACTTATAATCAAGTTGGTAAGATATGACATAATTTGCAATTTAAAGCACACGTGCACACACACGCACACACACACACACACAAATTCAAGGCTGCATATGTACCTAAGTATATCAATTTTTTAAGTTGCTATTTTGATTTTTTTCAAATATACAGATGTGTCTGAATGCAGGGATTATAGCTGAGCACAATATCAGGCCACTGTATAGATTTGATTACATAGTAATTAAATATCTTGATGGGCGATTCTCACTATCTTAAAGAGAAAAGTACCCAGAGGGGGGAAAAATTGATAAAGTATGTCAAATTTCTTTTTTTAAAATATAAATAAAATTTAAAAATACTTATGTATCATTTTTTGGCTATTCAGGGTCTTATTTTTTTGTTCATACTCCTTAAATTGCCTAATATTAAAAATGCATATTGAAATGATTACATAGAAAAACAGCTTAGTAAACAATTAAAAAATATTTACCTTGTGCGTTCAGCTAACTTAGAAAACTAGATTATTTCTGGAGATGTTAAATGAGAGAGAGAGGAAGAATGTATATTTAGCATTTTAATTTCAAATGTCATATTGATATAGCCCTTATAATCACACATCAGTTTTATGCTATTGTTCACCTATATTTTTAGGAGTTTTATGCCTTAAAATGCAGTTTTACTGCTATTGTTACAGGCATTTATTTTTTAAGAAAACAGTCCATTTTTTGCTCTTTGGGTATAACAAAAACACAGCTTCAGTCTTTGACTATATAATCCTCAGCATGAGGAGCAATCCTTTCATTAAAAATAAATAAATAAATAAGGAAGAGCCTGTATTCTGTACCCTGGAGAAATCCTGACTGTGGCTTGATACCCAAGAAGAAAAGCCTTTGAAATGAATCTAATGTCACATTATTGAAAATGTAGCCACACAGATTAACTTTTTTCACTCTGCAATGGCTTACAAAGCTTCAAATGCCCAGAAATCTCCTAAACCAGACAATTTAAGGAATCTACATAAGCTTGCACAGTTTTAAGCTTTCCGACTTTGAATGTTAGCTTTGAAGTTTTGCCAGAACCTGACTGTAGAAGAATTGCTTTTAAACGGAATTCATGACACTAGAATTAGTGTTGGAGGTTCCATATGCTTAATAATGATCTTGACCATGCAAACCATAGACAGCCATCACATATGGTACCTCTGAGTTAATAATTCTCCAAAGATAAGATGTGTAACATCCTGGCTCCAGTATTTATTTATTTTCCATCTTTATACATTGGGGCTTTGGATAATATCCAACTTAAAGAGCCAATTTTCTTAATAGCATATGGCATTTGTCCATGGGTAAGAGAGCATAGAAAAGAGAAAGGAAAGAAGTTTATAATGGTTGAATTATAAATGTCCCAATATCATATTTCTTCTCTCTTTTTTTGCCTTTTTCATTTAATTAGCTGAAAATCCTATAGCAAATTTCTGGGCAAAACTCCACTGTCAAGTGTTTTTCTGCCAACTACCAACCAAGACCAATTCTACTTCCATAAACTTTTCTGGACCTTTAGATAAACAAATTTATCCTCAAAGAATGGAGTTTATTACAAAACCTTTTTAATATTAAGGTATGCACTTCGTTTTAATTTGAAGACTTGTATTTTGCCCCTTAAAAAAATATAAAAAATTATCATATGGGTCTTCCCTCCTATCCTAAATTCGACTTCAATTTCCACCCAAGAGGAAAAAAAAGTCCCCAAGTCTATACGATTGGATGGCAAAGAGAATCACATATGGGGAGAATTATTATTCCCCTCAATTCTCCATACTTTCCAAGAAATCCACAATGCCATTTTTAGTGTATAGGTCTGGCATCTGCCACAAAATTGAAGAGTAAGAATGTGGTCCGATAGGGTTTATGATCCTGCCAACTAAAATATTTAGTAATTTTAATAAAAAGGGGCAAGTAGATATATTTGAAAAGTACATACAAATAAGTTTTAATTTTACCTACCTATTATTTTGAGATATTCTTCTAATATGTGGTTCTAGGTAACAAAAATGCTTTAGCATTTTAAATAATATTTTTAATCAATTATGAGTTTGTACAGCAAGTTAAAAATCTTTTATGAGTTTGATCTGAAAACATAGGTAACAAAGAAGAAAACCTACATTAATTTTCTATACAGTTAGTATCTAAGTAATCACATTTATACAATCTGTCTATAATAGTAAAGCTTATTTTTTGTGATTAGTGTATAAACATAAAACTCAAAGAAAATACATAATTTTTACAATATTTTCTAATCCCATTTCTATATCCTTAATTGTTTCAGCAATTATAATGGAGATTAGAAAACAATTCTGGTATATAATTGCTGTAATCGCTTTCCTAAATTTTTTAAAGGCTAGAATTGATAAATAATAAATTGACAAGCTGTTAAAATGTGTATCATGACTTCTTTTAAAAATACTTTCAATGTGTAAAATCAAATGAGATAGTTTACAATGCTTGGGGCCAATGAAATTATGCTGTTCATAAGAAATGTAAAAATTATATTTAAATGAATGGAACATCTAGAAGGTTACCAACTGATTTTGTTTAATAATCAGCCAATACGAATATTTTGCATCTGCCAATGCAGAAACTCACACACAGACATATAAACACATGCAGACGTATAAACACATATTCATACAAGTATACACATTTTCTTTATATTTTTCTATAAATTCTTTGATTATAAGACTGACTTCCTTCCTTCCTTCCTTCTTTTTCTCTTATGAAGAACGTAAGATCATTTCAAACAATTATATTGCTTAATGGTATGTTTTTACTTATCTTTTAAGTCATTCAGCAATTACTGAGCACTTATGCTGTCTCAGCATTGATTTTCAGTTTTGGTGATATTTACATGAAAAATACCTCATCTTTGGGAGTGACACAGGGCTATTTTTTAGATAGATACAGTGACATAAAACAAGTGCCATAACTACAGCACCGTGTGTTTATGTTGTAGGTAAATTTGAATTATTCAAATGTGGAGCAGTATGATGTAAATTATTAATAAACTATTAATTTATATAAAATATTTTAAGTAGAGTACATCAATCACAAATTAAGTTGATCAAATGTACATAATTTTAAAATGTATAGGTAGGATGAACAATGAACTTGGCTTAATCTCTTGACTAATGGTTGTGTCAATTTGATTGTTAAAAATTTACCCACCATACTTTTCCAGATTTGGGTTTGAATTATTTGAGTTTTTCCAAATGAAACTTCCCAATAAAGCTCTCAAAACAAACAAAATGAGACTTTTATAATAAAAGGTATTGTTAAGGAAGTAAGAAGCTAAGCCAACAGAAAGTTGCCATAGAATGCTTATGAGATGAAACAATTTTTTAATTAAACATTGGAGTTTTTGGTCCAGTTTTCCTATTCAATTAGGTAGAAGAGATTTTATCATGCTGAGAAATAAGCATATACAGACACAGCATGTTGAAAAATAAGTAGTCCAAATAACTACTCTCAAGAATGAGAAGAGTGATGGGCAATTAGACTACTCAGATAAGTGTTAATAAAAGACTCACACAAATGAATTTGAATATATGATATTGATGATGTTGATGTTATAATTGAGAGATTAAGTTCTTATCACCATTTCTCAACACAAAACCTTATAAACGTTTTAAAATTCTTCACAGACTCAAAATGGTATATGAGATCTCTCCCTCTGTAATTGAATTTTTTAGAAACAGAAACAAAATGTGTTCATGTGAAATGTAAGGGTAAAAATGACTCTATCCATATTAATAATAAATACTGGTAGAGACTGTGAATTAATCTGCATTCCCCTCACCAGTGCTTAGTAGAGTAACTTGCAAAAGTAAGCATTTAATAAATGATTTTTGAACTGAATCACATTTTATTTTATTAACTAAATCAGTTGTAATTTTTTTAGTCCTTTTTTCCAGTTTGACCATTTCCTTTCTTGTTTCTATTTATAATTAATAATTCTGTAGCTCTGTAAAATAACTGTCTCAAGTTTCAAATCTATAAAATTCTTGCTTTATCTATTTCCAACTCTCTTTTGAATATAAAAAAATTACATGTAAACTTACCTTTGTAATTTAAAAATGTTTAATATAATTTTTCTGGCTAATAGTAAGTATTCAATGAGTATTTTAATACACCAACAGAAATAAATCCTTTATGATTTGCTTTTAAATTTTAAATCCTTTCTTACAGATTGCTATTAAATTATAACATATCTTAAGAATACATTAAGTACCAACAGAAGAAAATATTACTGAATTTAAATTGAATTTGTCATAGCAACAGACAATCTAACATGAAACACGGAGATAGAAAAGAACTTTAAAAAAGTATAAAGAGCATCATTGACCTGTAGAACACTTCCAGTGGCCTAATGTAGTGTAGTTGACATCCCTGAAGGCGAAGAATGTGGGCTGAAAAAATATTTTAAGAAATAATGCCTGAAACATTTTGAAATTCTATAAAACTACAACCCTAAGTTCTAAGAATTTCAAGAAACCCCAACCACAGGAAATAAAAATAAAACTATGCCAAGGAACATCATAATCAAATTGCTCAAAACCAGAAATGTAGAAAAAAAATCTTAAAAAACTAGAGAAAAAGACATTTTATCTATAGAAGACACAGATAGGATTGACAGCAGCTTTTTCATTGGAAAAATGCAACAAAAGCAGACAGTGGAGAAATACTCAAATTATTGAAAAAATGTCAACACAGAATTCTATACACAGTATAAAATATATTTTTATAATTAATGGCAAAACAAATACTTTTTAGACATATAAAATCTGAAATTATTTATATCTAGCAGATCAACACTATGACAAATGTTAAAGGAAATCCTTCAGGCAGAAAACAAGTGCAGAGTTGTGTTTCTACAAGAAACAAAAGGCACTAGAAATGGTAACTACATAGACAAGTATGTATAATATTTTTACTATATAATATTTTTAAACAAAATAGTCTATTTAAATAATAATATAGATATAGTGTGGTGTTTATAATATTAAATGCACAATGTATGGAAATGATAACATATAGGCTGGAGGAGTTCTTATTCTATACGTGAAATGTCATAATATCAAATGAAAGTAAGCTATGATAATATAAATCCCAAACCAACCTCTAAAATAACAAAATAAAAGTTAAAACTATTAAGCCAAGAAGGGGAAACTTTAGAAGACAATCAATTAGAATGGAAGCAACAAAAATAGAAAAGAGAACAAAAACTGTACGAGGCAAATAGAAAATCAATGACATAATAAAAGACTTAAATCTCACCATCTCAATAATTTAATGGAAAAGAAATGCTCTAAACAACCCCAGTACAAAGTCAGAGGTAAAACTGAGAAAAGAGAAAGATCCAATTATTTCTTGCCTACAAGAAAAACACTTTAAGAATAGAGATACAAATAAGTTATAGGTAAAAAGGTGAATTAAGAAATACTATGGTAATGCAAGTTTAAAAAATAAAGCTGAATAAGCTATATTATTTTGAGAGAAAGTAGATTTTAGACTAAATAATTTTACCAAGAATACAAACCATCTTTTTTTTTAATCTTTCCTTTTTTAAAAGTTTTATTTTAGGTTCAAAGATACATGTGTAGGTTTGTTATATATGTAAACTCATGTCACAAGGGTTTGTTGTACAGATTTTTAATCACCCAGGTACTAAGCCTAGTACCCAACAGTTACTTTTTCTGATCCTCTTCCTCCCCCAACACTTCACCCTCAAGCAGGCCCCAGCATCTGTTGTTCCCCTTTTTGTGTCTATGTTTTCTCATAATTGAGTTGAGGACATGATCTCTTTCTTTTTATGGCGGTATAGTGTTCCATGTTGTATAGATACCACATTTTCTTTATTCAATCTGCCATTGATGGGCATTTTGGTTGACTTCACGTCTTTGCTATTGTGAATGCTGCTGCAATGAACAAACATGTGCATGTGTCTTTATGGTAGAATGATTTATATTCTTCTGGGTATATACCAGTAACAGTATGGCTGGGTTTAATGGTAACTCTGTTTTTAGCTCTTTGAAGAATTACCATCTTAATTACCACTTACCAGCCTTCCAAAATAGCTGAACTAATTTCCACTTCCACCAACAGTGTGTAAGTGTTCCTTTTCTCTACAACTTAGACAGCATTCTGTTATTTTCTGACTTTCAATAATAGGCATTCTGACTGTTATGAGATGGTATCTCATTATGGTTTTGATTTTCATTTTTCTGTTGATCAGTGATGTTGAGATTTTTTTAATATGATTGTTGGCCACATATATGTCTTTTTTTGAAAAGTATCTGTTCATGTTCTTTTCCCACTTTTTAATGGGGTTGTTTATTTTGTTCTTGTAAATTTGTTTAAGTTCCTTATAGATGCTGGATATTAGATCTTTATCATATGCATAGTTTGTAGATATTTTCTCCCATTCTGTAGGTTGTCTATTGGCCCTCTTGGTAGTTTCTTTTGCTGTGCAGAAGCTCTTAAGTTTAATTAGATACCATTTGTCAATTTTTGTTTTTGTTGTGATTGCTTCTGGCATCTTTGTCATGAGATTTTTGCCCATTCATATGTCCAGAATGGTACTGCCTAGGTTGTCTTCCAGGGTTTTTATTGTTTTGGATTTTACATTTCAGTTTTAATCCATCTTAAGTTGGTTTTTGCCTATGGTGTAAGGAAGGAGTCCAGATTCAATTTTCTGCATGTGGCTGGCCAGTTATCCCAGCACCATTTTATTGAATAAGAAATCATTTCCTCATTGTTTGTTTTTGTCAGCCGTGTCAAAGATTAGATGGTTGTAGTTGTGTGTCCTTATTTCTAGGCTCTCTTCTGTTCCATTGGTCTGTGTGTCTGTTTTTGTAGCAGTACCATGCTGTTTTGTTTACTGTAGTCCTGTAGCATAGTTTCAAGTTGGGTAACATAATGCCTCCTGCATTGTTCTTTTTGCTTAGAATTGCCTTGGCTATTCCAAAAAAAAAAAAAAAAATTGAGAAGGGACTCCTCCCCAACTCATTCTATGAGGCCAGCATCATTGTGATAGCAAAACCTGGCAGAAACACAATAATAAAAAAAATAAAAAATAATAAATAAATAAATAAATAAAAACTTCAGGCCAGTATCTTTGATGAACGTTGATCTAAAAATCCTTAACAAAATACCTGCAAACCAAATTCAGCAGCACATCAAAAAGGAAATCCACGATGATCGAGTAGGCTTTAACCCTGGGATACAAGGTTGGTTCAACATACATAAATAAATATATGTGATTCATCACATAAATAGGACTAAAGACAAAACCCAGATGATTATCTCAGTATATACAGAAAAGGCTTTTGATAAAATTCAACATCCCTTCATGTTAAAAACTCTCAATAAACTAGGTATTGAAATAGCATACCTCAAAATAATAAGAGCCATCTATGACAAACCAACAGCCAACATTTTACTAAATGGATAAAAGCTGGAAACATTTTCCTTGAAAAACTGGCACAAGACAAGGATGCCCTCTCTCACAACTCCTATTCAACATAGTATTGAAAGTCTTGGCCAGAGCAATCAGGCAAGAGAAAGAAACGAAGGGCATTGCAATAGGAAGAGAGGAAGTCAAAGTATCCCTGCAGACATGATTCTATGTCTGAAAACCTCCGTAGTCTGGACCGCAAAGCTCCTTCACCTGATAAACAACTTCAGCAAAGTTTCAGGATACAAAATCAATGTACAAAATCAATGTACAAAATCATTAGCGTTCCTATACATTAATAACAGCCAGGCTGAGAGCCAAATAAGGAATGCAATCCCATTCACAGTCACCACAAAAAGAATAAAAGACCCAGGAATACAGCTAACCAGGGAGGTGAAAGATCTTTACAATGAGAATTTAAAAACACTGCTCAAAGAAACCAGAGATGACATAAACAAATGGGAAAACATTCCATGCTCATGAGGAAGGAAGAATCAATATCTTTAAACTGGCCATACTGCCCAAAGCAATTTACACATTTAATGCTATTCCTATCAAACTACCAATGGCATTCTTCACAGAACTAGAAAAAATATTTTAAAATGTATATGGAACCAGACAATCCTTTCACGTGATTAAAAAGGACTGACTTTATTGAACACTCCAAACAAAAACATCAGAATGCATATTCATTTCAAGTGTACATAACACATGTACCAAAATAAATAAAATTATTTGCAATAAAGCAAGCTTCAATATATTAAAAATGAAATTAAATTAGAATCCAATGAAAATAAGAGCTCTGGAAAATTCTCAAATATTTGAAAATGTATTAGTATACTTCCAAATTATTCATGGAATCAAAAAATAATCATTTATGGTAGCTGAGAAAACTACTCCAAATATAAGCATGGACATGCAGATAATTATAAGGGTCCAAAGGAAAAACTGTTGATAAATACGAAAGTTACACTGCAAAACAACAATAATTATATATTGTGGAATAAAGACATATAAAAACTAAAGTATAAATGAATAACTTTAATTTTCTAATTACTGATTTAACCTAGTAAACTTAACTTTAACTAGGTTTCGAAGCTCTGCTAGATGTGCTAATGAAATTAAGATGTTCTACGAAATTAAGAAATGGCAGTGAAGAAGATGCAGACTCTTGTATTCAGGGAAATCACAATTTAATGAAAAAATTGAATACATAAAAATCCATTAAAATATTAGCCAATAGCACAGAGGATATACTATTTGCCCTTCACAATATCTCCAGTAGAACATTTTTTATCTCACAAAATGTGTTATGTTGTCTCTTCACACTATCCCCAACATAATTTCATGAAAGTAGCATCTGCTGGTCTTCAGTGTGTACAAACAGGAACATACAAATCTGTAAGGTTTTAGAAAGCTGCATCAATAAATTTTCTGGAAGCCAATCCCTATTCTCAAACTCTTCCCTCTTTCCCAGAGCTTTTCAATTACATTAATACCCCACCCCCACCCCACATTGAATCTATCCAGCCCTGTTATTTTCTAAAATCTTAATTTAGCACTTAGAAAAAAAAAGAAACTATACCGTTTTTGAGGACCAGAACATATCCACCTTTCTGTGGCTAAGAGTATACATAAAAAGAAGAAAAATATAATATTTTCATTATATCAGGTAAACAATTGCTCTTTCATTGTCATTTCCAAGGAAATAAATGTCAAAGTATGGTATTATAGTGATACACTGCTATTCCCTATAAATTTACCAATGAAAGCAGCTCTATAGGGTGGATTTATGATGATATGAAATGAAAAAAGCAGGATTAGGCAACAGTTAACTGATATTAAAATGTCAAGCACAAGGTGAAAATAATCCTTTGATTGAAGATTGTAGTTTGTGGAATTCACGTTTCATGAATTATACAATGATGAACAACTATTCTATTGAAGATATTTTCTTTCATTTATTTGACATGATACTATTCTGTTAAATGAGTTAAGGAAAGAAGGGAAGGAATAGCAATACCCAGTTTCTGTAAAAATCAGAATAGATTAATTTATGCTATAATGACAGGCTAACTCCAAACTCTAGCAGCTTAAAGGAACAAAAAGTTACTTCTTGCTTTTGCTGCAGGTTTAATGCAGGTCAATAATAGAATCTGCTCATCATAGCCTCTGAGGCTGATGGAAGCTCTATTTTAACACTTGCTTCCACATCAACAAGGCACAGGAAGGGGACTCAGTAAATTATATACTGATATTAAAGCTTTTGCCTGAAAGTGACAGGCACACTTTCACTCATTCCTGAACATTCTGCTGAACAAAGAAAGTCGCACGGCAATTTCTAACAAAAGCAAGAAGGTTCAACCCTACTAGCTACCTGGAAGGACAATTAGAATATTGGCTCTTCACGCCTACAATTCAATAAAGAGAATTAGACATTTACTCCAATGGCAATACAAGAAGAGATATGATAAGGGCCTAGGAGTATAATGTTGAAAATATAATGGTAATGCCAACACAAAGATTAGTAATATCTAAATTGTATTGATTTATTATTTATTATTTTATTATTTTTACCAGGCATCATTCTAAGTGCTCTACATGGCATATGGCATTAATGCATTTAATTCTCAAAGCAGCTCTATGAGATAGGTAGTATTGTTATAACTTCATTCTACATATAAAACATGAGGCACAAAGAAGTTAAATTACTTGTTCATAGTTGTTTATGGACTGGATAGATAGGTAGGGGTGTGTGTGTGTGTGTGTGTGTGTGTAGTGTTTTGACTGAGCCAAGATTTGAACCTAAGGAATTTGGTTCCTGAGCCTGAGCCCTAAATTCTGTATGATATAATAGCCAATTTGCTTTAGTACATTTACTTTCAACTTTTGTTTTTAATATATAGGACATTTACTTACATTAAAGCTTATTAAGAAGCTTATTATAAAAATGGATCTAATTGGAGCATCTTTGGTTAAAGCAGGAAGAAGAAGCCAAAGCTCTATCCATTTGGGACAGCATGTGTCTCCCAGCTACTGATTTAGAAGGCTGTCATTAACATCAAAAAAGGCTTGAAATTTGTTTATTTGCTAAAAATATAACCACTGAATATGACTCTTCAGGCTCTCATACCTTAGCTAAATTATCTAATTATAACAGTTGTTTCTCTCTCTCAAAAAAAAATAAAATAAAATAAAATAAAATGAATAAAAAAAATAAAGTATCCTGAGACACAAAGTCAGGACAAGCTGAAATTGAAAATACGAAGCTTTTGATTTCTAGAGAGAGCTTAATTTTAGAAAAACTTTACTCAACTACAAGTATGCAAACAAAACCAGGATTAAGAGAGCTGTAAAGAGCTGTAAGAAATGGACGACACCTCATAAAAATGATGAAAAGCAGTATCCTACTAGCTAGTTGTTAGACAACTGGGTAATTTTGTGTAAATTTATAAAGAGGCTGAAAAGCACAGCTGTCAGCCACCTACAGAGAGTCTGAATACTCTGTATACTCCACGAAATCTACGCACTTGTCCAAAGTGTTTGTTCTTCTGATCTTAAATTGGCTTTCCCTTACTCTTTCTTCATTAACCCTGAACTGAGAAAATATTGATATTATGTATTTTTAGCTTCTCCACCAATAATTGCTTTCTCTAAACTTGTCTGGATATAATAAAGAAACAAAAACTCAGTTTTAATGATATGTTTTCTCACAGTTCAGCAGTTAACTTCAGTATTTACCACTAAATACTATTTTAAGAAAATAAATACTTGAGAACAAAAACCTTAATTTCAACTCATCAATAACATATTAATAAATATTTAACACCCTAACCTGCCCTTAAAATACAGTAGTTAGGTAGTAAGCTTGGGTTTGAAAGCTAGTTTAAATAAATACAAAATAAATAAGCAAATACACAATAAATACATACATTTTCTAGACAGCCTTCCGTCCCATATACAGAGCTACATTGATTCACCAAATACTTTCATTTTGTATTGTTCTCCTTTAATTAACCTCATGAAGATATTAATGCACTTCAGCCTTGCCATGTAATACTTTTTTTAACCTTTATAATTATAACGAGGTGTCACTATACTTAAGAGAATAAGGTTAAAATATTTTATTACTTATAATTATTTTCAACTCTATTATTATATTTAATTGGTAAGTAAAAATTTGAAAAAGAATTTTGAATATTTTGCAATTATTATTTAGACAAAAAATTGATAATTTCAAATGCAAACAGTCTGAATTTAAAAAATAAATTAGAAAACATAATTTTACTGGTGAAAAATATATTAGTAATATTAGTATAACAGAAAGTATTTAAAGTGTGTTTACGTTTCTGGAAACTTTCTAATATAAAAATATATCTCTGATAGCTCTCTTCATTGTTTGGATTTTGTATTACAGTGTGCCTACTGGACACAAAATTTAAAGCCTCTATGAATTTTCAAAGAAAACATCAATGATTAGGGGGATATAAGCAAATGTTTTTATGGTCCTTGAAGAAGTTTCACATCAAACATGTAACACAGCAAATGATCCTGAAAACAAACAAACAAATTAAAAACAAACCTCACCTCAGACATTGACAGTTTTTCAAGTCTTGTCTTGAACTTGCTGACCATGGGACTTTTATCTCTGAAATTTTCCCTATTAAATGCATCTATCTCAACCTCTAAGGCACTTAAAATTTCTCATTCCTCTTTTATTCAGAATAGTTAGCTCTTCCATGGAAATCTGGGCACTGGATATTATCATTTATGTTGGACAAAAAAATTTTCTGATAAAGTAGTTACATATGATTTATCAGATTTTTTTTTTTTTTTTGAGACAGCATCATCTTGCTCTGTCACCCAGGCTGGAGTGCAGTGGTGCAATCTCAGCTCACTGCAACCTCCACTTCCTGGGTTCAAGCGATTCTCCTGCCTCAGCCTCCTGAGTAGCTAGGACTACAGGCATGCACCACTATGCCTGGCTAATTTTTGTATTTTTAGTAGAGACAGGGTTTCACCATATTGATGAGGCTGGTCTTGAACTCCTGACCTTGTGATCCACCCACCTTGGCCTCCCAAAGTGCTGGGATTGCAGGCATGAGCCACCGTGCCCAGCCGCTGTATCAGATTATTTAATTCCCAAGAACTCTGTTTATGTTCTCAGTGCTATGGCTATGACATTTGACATTAGATTTATTTTTTTAGATTCCACAAGGATCTCCATATATTTATTCCTGCAGAGTTATGGGAAGTTTATATAAAACATTGTGGGCAATGATATTATTGTCGTTGTCCCGATATGCCACAAAGTTTCATAACTGTCATTGAGGATTTACCTGACAAGTTATTTAAAAAATGCCTTTATACCATCTAAATGGTCACAGTTGCTACAGTGACAAATGTCATCTGTCCTCAATATATATTTTTCTAAATCTCCAAAGAGTAACATCTGAACAATAAAGAAAAGGATTAAAATCTCATAGAGATATTATATTCTTGGAATAAGCTCTATTTTTCTTACTGAAGAGTTTGCAATGGACTGGAGAAATTCAAAATATTTTATTAACAGATTTTTTCCCCTTTTTATGAGTATTACCGTGTTCAATTTCTGGAGTTTTCATCCCTGAGTCAGTAAGTCACCATAAACAAAAGCAATTGAATTTGGATTTAAGAAATACCACTATCCATCTTAAGCAAACTAGAAATTTAGCAAAACTTTTAGACTCTGCTATGATTTATTATGTAACCTTGGAGATTTTTAATATGACTTTAATTTTTTTTTTTTTTGCAATCTGACCCTTCTCTCAGTTGTATTGTCCTATGTGTTTCCTGATCTCTCAAAGGGAGGTGATCTAGATTAATGAGTTTGAACTCCACAGATTAATATTCTACAACAGCAATCATTTTTTCAATTGGTATTATTTCACTATTTCAATTTTCTGCAAACACTTGGGACACATACTAACCTAGAGGGATGACAAACTATAAGATTAAGCTAGAGCAGCAATGATGTAAATTTTCACACAACCTTCAGAAATATGAGTATCAATTTCTTTAGGATTAGACCAAAGACAAGCTGACCGTTGCCAAGGAAAAAAGACAATTTATTCTTTAGAGGATCTTTCAAAGTTCTTTCCCTAAAGCCTGCCCGCTAACTAAAATCATGCCCATGAGATAAAGGAAGCCAGTAACATACATTCCACGGAAGTACAGAATATTTATCAAAGTTTGATGAAAGAGAATAGTACTATTTTTTTAACACAGCATTGGTAATGCAAATTAGTTGAGGAGAGTGGTGTTTTAACTGTTACAGTCTTTCATAGAATGAGGATTTGCTAAACTTGAACATGCATTCTAGAAATGTAGGTAGATTGTTGTTGTTGAAAAGAAAATGAACAATTTCAGCAGTTATAATACATGGTGAAACAACTTTATATTGATTAATAATACCCATTATTGAAGATATAATAAAGACTCTTTATAATAATACGTGTATCTTTAGGAAAAAAACCCTGAAAACTGGGGCTTTCGTCATCTGTCTTCAAAGTTTCAGGTGCTATAACCATGTCCTAGAATAGTAGCAGTAGAAACAGTAATAATGATCTGAAGTAGCAGGTAATATTCTACCAAATAATTTTAATCATTTGTACATAGTAACTTGTAAATGGAACAAAATACTCATCTTTAGAAAACAACATTAACAAGTAATATTTATCATATGTCTACGAGGCTATAAGCATATACCAAATGCTTATAAGTAGGAAGTTTATTTCTTACTTATATACATTGCCTTTTTTCATCCTCACAGTACTGAAGTACAGAAAGATAAACTTCTCAAAAGTACAATTAATTTACTGAGATTTGATCAAAGAGAAATTTGATGACTTTTTCTTCAACACAACATTGTACAGTATAATTTTACTGTTTTATAATAAAACAATGTTACTATCTTCATTACAAATACATATTAGAAAGGTTAACAATTTACTCACAATCATAGAGTAATAAGAATGGTTTAGCAAACATTTGAATGGAGACCATCTGACCAGAGAGTTAAGTTCTTAACTATCACATGATCTGACCATATGAATATTCATTACAATAAAAACACTCTGAACAGTTGTTTGGCCAATATTCTCAAGGCAAAAATAGAAAAAAAATGATACTGCTAGAGGCTTTTAAAGGCAACCTTTGGGTTTCTATTGACCGTTTACTGAGCTCTTCGGGTATAAATATCATTTAAGTCATTTCATTAGCATGCATTTGTAATCTACTGTATACTGCAGATTTCCAGGAATGCACAATAGAATGAAAAAGCAAAGTATAGAAAAATAAGTTGAAAAATTGTGATTTAATATTTAAGTAATGGTTAAATGGCAGTAAAAGCACTGTCAAGAGAAATCGAAGACTTAATTCCCCATTAAATGATACAACAAATTTAATATCATCCACAGACTGAAGAGAGTTCATCAGATATGTTGGAGAAGAAAATAATTTACATAAGATACAGTCGAAAGAATGCATAACACTTGAAAAGAGATAGAGAACTGGAATACTATTACTTGTAAGAGAAGTTGCATATGGCAATATGTAATCTACAATAAAAATTTAACAGAGCATTTTAATTTCTGTTACGCCCATCAGTTAATTTTTACATGCTGATAAAAAAAAATGACAAATATATCTTTTGAAAGGTACTTTTGAATTAAAAAAGGTACAAAGTGGCAGGTTGCCGTGGCTCACGCCTGTAATCTCAGCACTTTGGGAGGCTGAGGCAGGCGGATCATGTGGTCCAGAGATTGAGACCATCCTGGCCAACACGGTGAAACTCTGTCTCTATTAAAACTACAAAAAGTATCTGGGCCGTGGTGGCACATGCGTGTAGTCCCAGCTTTTGGGAGGCTGAGGCAGGAGAATCACTTGAACCCGGGAGGCGGATGTTGCAGTGAGCTGAGACCGCGCCACTGCACTCCAGCCTCGTGACAGAGCAAGACTCTGTCTCAAAAACAAACAAACAAACAAACAAACAAACAAAAAAAAGCCACAAAGTATCCAATTTAAAGAAAATACCGCTTGGTTTAGCTTGAAAAGCCAAACTTTATTCATAGTTTACTTCTTGCCTAGGGATAAGAGAAAAATAAATGCTTCAGAATGGCTTGTAATCTTTGATTTTACATAGAACAGAAAGAAAAAAATGCAATGGCTTTTGTTCCTAGGTCTCATATAAATGTCCGACTTGTTAACAACAATCCATAAATACAAATTAATAGGCAGGCATGGTGTTCAACTATTCCTATCAAAGCCTACACACACACACACACACACACACACACACACACACACAGACACACAAAGTTAAGATAAGTTTAATACTGTTGTAGAATTAACAGTGAAAAAATGGAGGCATTTTCTAAACTATAGGATTAATATATAGAAGAATATCATCATGGAAGAAAGTAAAATAAATAAAATTTTTAAATAGTTTCACTATTTTGAATAATGAATTATGCATTGGAAAACAAACTTTGAGAATGTGATGCAACATGATAAATTTAAAACATTAATACAATTCATTAAATAAAGGTTTATTGATAGGTTCTCTTGCACACCAACATGCTAGATCCCAGAAACATATGGATGGACATTGAAAAAACCTTTTCCCTTAAGTAGTTTATAATTTGATGAGGAAAATAGTCATATATCCCCTTTAAAAAATCAAATCAGATATTAACACTGTTCTTATAACAATAGATGATAATGAAATTTAAATGATTTGGAAGTGACCTTTGAACTTTATGGTTTAGAAAGATGTCAAAAGGCACAAAGCAGGAAGGAAGGAGAAAGTACCATGAGACAACAGTGAGGAGTACTCAAAAGAGCAAGTATGTAGAATGCACTTAACTTCTGAAAACCCAGATTTAAACATCTTTGTAAGGAGTGTTCAGTGGAACTGTTGAAAACATAATTTGGGGATAAAGTTAATGTAAACATAAAAATATAGCGTAGTTTAAAATACAATTATATGAGTGAAATTATTGTATCTTTATTTTAGAAAAATAACTCTAGAAACCTCATGGAGGACAGATTATATCAGAGGAAGGCTTAAGTTTGGAACAGCAGTGAGGAACTTTTGCTTTATCCAGGGGGTAAATGTACACAGTCTGAACTATTGATACAGACAGGAGACAGGGAAATACTGGGTAGAAGAGGGTGGTTCCCGGGCAAAGGCCCCACCCTCAAGCCTGGAAACTTGCGGCCCTAAATGAGAACAGGCATTCCTGTTTTCATGCCCAAAAGTTGCCTTTTGGCCCACCAACCCCTGCATCCTGTACCCATATAAACTCCAAACCCCCAGCTTCACAAGCAGACGAGGAGATGAACAGAAGAGCAGAAGAACAGCAGCAGAGTGCAGCAGAGGGAAGGAATCGAGCATCTGAACATCCGGAGGAGTTCAGCTGGCGATGGTTACAGAGAAGATCAGCTACTGGATGGCCAAACTCCAGGGGAATATCATCTTCTCATGGTCAAATGCCAGGGGAAGATCATCTTCTCACTCCATCCCCCTTCCTGCTCCCCATCCATCCCGCTGACAGCCACCTCTACCACTCACTAAAAACCCTGCATTGACCCTTCAAGTCCGTATATGACCCAGTTCTTTCTGGACGCTGGACAAGGACCTGGATACCAAGAGGGTACTGAGCTGGTTAACACTTAAGCCACCCAGGACAGCAAGGCTAAAAGAGCGCACTGTAAAACACACCCACTTGGGCTTCGGGAGTTGCAGACACCCACCCCTGGACACTGCCATGGAGCCGGAGCTCAGGGATGCTTGTCCGCGCTCCTGCACCTGCCAGTCTGCGTGCTTCCCTTCCCAAAAGCGGTTTAAGTGTGCACTGCAGTTTCCACTGAGAACAGATGAGCCACACCCCTTTTAACAGGAGTCCTCGAAGGACACCTGTCACACGTCCTTTGAGGAGGATCAAGGAACTCTCCTGTTTCACTATGACACTAGAAGTCACAAAGTAAAGAAGACAGAGATAAAATGAGAATTCTCGTAAGATATAATTTTAAAGTAATGCCAATTAATTGAGTGAGTAGGCAAAAAAATATGTAATTAAAAATAAGGTCCTTGGTGAGCTGATTTTCATCTGCAAATGGATGGAGTAGATGCAGTTTTCCCTGTTCCTCCCGCTAAGTACAACCAAAATCCCTAAACATTATAGGTAAAATAATAATGAGATTATTAATAAAGCAGATACAAACATTTATGCATATGTTTTTGCATGAACACTTGTTAAACATAGCGCTAGAATTTCTAGCAGGTGCAAGAAAGAAACTAAAAGTCATAGAGATTCAAAGGGAAAAGATAAAACAATCCCTATTTGTAGGTGACATTATTGTCTTCATAGAAAATCCTAAAGAGTCTATTAAAAAATCTAGAAGTAATACATGAGTCCCTCGAGGCTTCAGGATATATGATAAAGGTGAAAAAATAATTGTGTCTCTTTTATAATTGCAATGAATATGTGGACACAGAAATGATAATACAGTTTACAATATTTCTCCAACAAAATGAAATACTTAGGTGTAAATCAAACAAAACATGTACAGTATTTATATGCTGAAAATGACACAACATTATGAGAAAAAAACAAACAAATAAATGGAGAGACATACCATGTTCAAGGATTGAAAGACTAACATAGCAAAGATGTTAACTGTGTTAAAATTGATTTATAAGCTTAATGCAATTTCTATAAAATTCCAGCAATAGGTTTTGTAGATATGTACAATATTATCCTAAAGTTTACATGGAAAGACAGAACTAGTAAAGCTGAAGTAATTTTGAAAAAGAAAATAAAGTGTGAGAAATCAGTCTACTTGATTTCAAGTAAATATGTACCTACAGTAATCAAGACAGTGTTGTATCGGTGGAATAATATACACATAGATGAATGAAACAGAATAGGGAATCTAGAAATAGGCTGACATAAATATGCCCAACTGATTTTTGACAAAGGTACAAAAGCAATTCAATGATGGCAAGACACACTTTTCCACAAGTCATGTGGAAACAATAGGACATCAATAAACAATAATTAATCTGACCTAAATTACACACCTCATACAAAAATTAACTAAAAATGGATTACAAACATAAATATGCAATTTAAGAGAGTAAAATTGTTAGAAAAACACATAGGAGAATGTCTTCGTTATCTAGGGCTTGGCAAAAATGTTCTTAGACTTGACACCAAAATTATGATCTATAAAAGAAAAAAAAGGTAAATTTGATTCCATCAAAATTAAAAATATTTACTCTGTGATAGCTCCTGTCAAGTGGGATAAAAGACAAGCAAAAGAATGGGATACAATATTTTCAAATTATATATCAAAGAACTAGTATCTAGAATATATAAGGAACTCTCATAGGCAAACACACACAAAAGGACATTTATCTAAAGATGATAAGTTTCACATAACAACATGAAAAGTTGTTCAACTTCAATACTTCTTAGGAAATTGCAAATTAAACTTCAATGGGATATCATTATATACTTATCAGAATGGCAAAAGTGAAAAACAAATAATGACAACCCTAAATCTTGGCCAGGATAGAAAGAAACAATCACTCATACATTGCTATTGGGAATAGAAAATGTTACAGCCACTATAGAAAACAGTTCGGCAGTTTAAAATATAACTATCACACAACCTAGCAATTGGACTCCTGGAAATGTTCCCAAAGAAACGAAGACTTATGTTCATGCAAATTTCTGTACACAAATGTTTATACCAGCTTTAATCATAATAGCACTAAATAACTCATGTGTTCTTCAGCAAGTGAATGGTCAAACAAAACATGGACTATTACTCAGCAATACCCTAGAATATTATTCATTGGTAAAAGGAAGTGCATTGTCGAGCTGGCTGAATCTCCAGACAAGTATATGGTGTGAAAAATTCCATTCCAAAAGGTGAAATACTGTAGGATTCCATTCTTTGTAACATTCTTTAAATGACATAATTAGAGAAATGAATAACAGCTTATTGATTTCTAGAAATGAAGGGGGGATTGGGAGCAGGAGGGAAGCGAGTATGGCTATAAAAGGGCAACAGAAATGATCTTTTAGATAATAGACATGTTTTGTATATTGACTGTATTACTGTCAATATCTTAATTGTGATAATGTGCTGTAGTTTTGTAAGTTATTACCATTGGGGTGTACTAGGTAATAAGTTAATAGTATTTCTCTATTTTTTCGCTGCATATTTCATACTACATATAAACCTATAATTGTTTTCAAATAAAGGCTAATTTAAAAATATAAATAACCTTTTTGTTTTTAAATTCCGGGGGTGAGCCAGGGGAGGGGTGTATGTAAAAGAAAATCCAGGAGAGAAACCAGTTTGAGGAAAATATGCAAGTTTTAAAAATATTGATTTTGAGCTGTCCAAGAGATTTTTTGCAGGTTGCATTCTTCTACAAGTGGATTCCAAAATGAATTAGTGATCAGGACATTTATTTTTTAGTCACCTTGGGATTACCAATTGTGACAGGAACAACAACAACAAAAAGCTTATTAAAGTTGTTTCATGTTGGGTGGAAATGGATGGCCAGGCCTGTATGACATTGATTCAATTCTTCATTGGATACAGGCTGCCTCAGGAAAGGCATACACATGGGTGAGGTGGCTATCTACAGCTGACCACATCACCCCAGCTAAGACAACAGGTGCTTCCTTCAAGCGGAATCCTGCTAGGACATCTTCAGTTGCAACACAACAGTCTTTTACCTAAATCTGAAATTCAGAACTGAGAGTCAAGGTAGAATTTGACCTTTATTTTGGAATCTGTTCTGTTATTCTCAGGAAACTACCTATGAGCTCATCAAGAAAGACAATGTGGAGCCACATGCGGAGAGTAAACGTTCAGTATAGAAATATTGTACGTGTAAACAAGAAAAAGGAGTGGTATGTCATGATAATTTAGCACAGATAAACAACTTTTCAAAGAGGCCGCCCACAGAAACCAGTTTGGTGAGAAGTAAAAGCCTTTCTTCTAGAAGTTTAAAAATGAGAAAAAAAATAATGAGAATAAACAAAAAGGGCCCTTTTCCCCCAAAATGCCAACTATACTTGTAATAAGTATATTTAATTTGATAGTCCGCATGATAACAAGCCTAAATATGCGGTTTAATTCCTGTTCTTTAGAGAAGAGTGTGGTGACTCTTAGGTAAGTTAAATAAATCTTATAGCCCAGACCACTAATAGCTGGCACAGCACTGCTGGGATTTGAACCATTTCTAGTTATTCCAAATTAATAATCTTCTGGCTCTGCAGCATCAGTTATCCTTATTCAAGCTGACAACGAATAACATATTTTACTTACATACTTTCCAATGGAAAGGAATCATATTCTACTTTACTCTTTAAAAAGTCAACCATCCTTTCATTTACTTACTCAGAGCAGCAGAGTGTGAAAAAACCATCAGAGAGATTTTAACAGTAGCATGCATAGTATAATAAACAGGTCTGTGCTAGGCTCATTAGCACTATCATCTCCAATATTCTCAATCACAAAGATGCAGAGTTAATATTATCTTTATATTATAGATGAGATAAAAGGCTTAAAAAGGACATCCTGGTTGATGGTATCATATCTTTAGATAAGCAGATGAAGGCAGACTCAAAGAAGAGGAAATTAAAGAGATAAAACATGCAAAAAATTCAGCATTTTATTTACTGTCAGTAACATTATATATACTTATATGGCATGGCAGTTTTAGTGTGGCCATGAGTTGATTTTTAAGTGGATCAATATTATATTTCTGAGATCCCATTTAACAATTATGTTTATTTTCTTCAGACCTGGGATATCTTCTTTACAATGAAAAGAAACTAGTTGGGCTGTGAAGGTGGCCAAATAGGAACAGCTTCCAGTGAGATCAATGCAGAAGGTGGGTGATTTCTGCATTTCCAACTGAGGTACACAGCTCATCTCACTGGGACTGGTTAGACAGTGGGTGCAGCCCACAGAGGGCGAGCCAAAACAGGGTGGGGGGTCGCCTCACTGTGGGAGCACAAGGGGTTGGGGAACTCCCTTCCCTAGCCAAGGGAAGCCGTGAGGGACTGCTGTAAGGGATGGTGCACTCTGGCCAAGATATTATGCTTTTCCCATGGTCTTTGCAACCTGCAGACCAGGAGATTCCCTCAGGTGCCTATGCCACCAGGGCCCTAGGTTTCAAGCACAAAACTGGGCAGCCATTTGGGCAGACACCGAGTTAGCTGCAGGAGTTTTTTTATGCCCCAGTGACACCTGGAATGCCAGTGATACAGAACCATTCACTCTCCTGGAAAGGGGGCTGAAGCCAGGGAGCCAAGTGGTCTAGCTCAGCAGATCCCACCCCCAGGGAACCCAGCAAGCCAAGATCCACTGGCTTGAAATTCTCACTGCCAGCAAAGCAGTCTGAAGTCAACCTGGGATACTGGAGCTTGCTGAAGGGAGGGGCATCCACCATTACTGAGGCTTGAGTAGGTGGTTTTCCCCTCACAGTGTAAACAAAACTGAGGGGAAGTTTGAACGGTGCAGAGCCCACTGAAGCTTGGTAAAGACACTGTAGTCAGACTGCCTCTCTAGATTCCTCCTGTCAGGGCAGGGCATCTCTGAAAAAAAGGTAGCAGCCCCAGTTAGGAGCTTATGGATAAAACTCCCATCTCCCTGGGACAGAGCACCTGGGGGAAGGGGTGCCTGTGGGCACAGCTTCAGCAGACTTAAACATTCCTGCCTGATGGCTCTGAAGAGAGCAGCAGATCTCCAAGCAGAGTTCTTGAGCTCTGCTAAGGGACAAACTGCCTCCTCAAGTGGGTCCCTGACCCCTGTGCCTCCTGACTGGGAGACACCCCCTAGCAGGGATCGACAGACATCTTATACAGGAGAGCTCCGTATGGCATCTGTCAGGTAACCCTCTGGGATGAAGCTTCCAGAGGAAGGAACAGGCAGCAATATTTGCTGTTCTGCAGCCTCAGCTGGTGATATCCAGGCAAACAGGGTCTGAAGTGGACCCCCAGCAAACTCCAGCATACCTGAAGCAGAAGGGCCTGTAAGAAGGAAAACTAACAAACAGAAAGTAATAGCATCAACATCAATAAAAAAGTACGTCCACACAGAAACACCATCCAAAGGTCACCAATATCAAAGACCTAAGGTAGATAAATCCACAAAGATGAGGAAAAACCAGTGCAAAAAGGCTGAAAATTCCAAAAACAAGAATGCCTCTTCTTCTCCAAAAGATCACAACTCCTTGTTAGCAAGGGGAAAAAAAAAAACTAGACAGAGAATGAGTTTGAAGAATTGACAGAAGAGGATTCGGAAAGTGGGCAATAACAAACTCTTCCAAGCTAAAGCAGCAAGGAAGCTAAGAACCTTGTAAAAAGGTTAGAGGAATTGCTAACTAGAATAACCAATTTAGAGAAGAGCATGAATGACCTCATGGAGCTGAAAAACACAGCGCAAAAACTTCATGAAGCATACACAAGTATCAATAGCCTTATCGATCAAGCAGAAGAAAGGATATCAGAGACTGAAGATCAACTTAATGAAATAAACAGTGAAGACAAGATTAGAGAAAAAAGAATGAAAAGGAATGAACAAAGCCTCCAAGAAATATAGGACTATGTGAAAAGACCAAACCTATGTTGGATTGGTGTACCTGAAAGTGACAGGGAGAATGGAACCAAGTTGGAAAACACTCTTCAGGATATTATTCAGGAGAACCTCACCAACCTAGCAAGACAGACTAACACTCAAATACACTAAAGCAGTGTTTAGAAGGAAATTTATAGCACTAAATGCCCACAGTAGAAAGTGGGAAAGATTTAAAATTGACACCCTAACATCACAATTAAAAGAACTAGAGAAACAAGAGCACACAAATTCAAAAGCTAGCAGAAGACAAGAAGTAACTAAGATCAGAGCAGAACTGAAGGAGACAGAGACATGAAAAACCCTTCAAATAATCAATGAATCCAGGAGCTGGTTTTTGGAAAAGATTAACAAAATAGACTGTTAGCTAGACTAATAAAGAAGAAAACAGAGAAGAATAAAATAAACACAATAAAAAATAATAAAGGGGATAATATCACCACTGATCCCACAGACATACAAACTACCATCAGAGAATATTATTAACACCTCTATGCAAATAAACTGGAAAACCTAGAAAAAAATCGATAAATTCCTGGACACATACACACTCCCAAGACTAAACCAGGGAGAAGTCGAATCTCTAAATTGACCAAAAACAAGTTCTAAAATGGAGGCAGTAATTAATAGCCTACCAACAACAACAACAAAAAAAACCCAAGACCAGACGGATTCAGAGCTGACTTCTACCAGAGGTACAAAGAGAAGCTGGTAACATTCCTTCTGAAATGATTCTAAAAAATAGAAAAAGAGGGACTCCTTCCTAACTCATTTTATGAGGCCACCGTTATCCTGATACCAAAACCTGGCAGAGATCCAATAAAAAAGAAAATTTCAGGAAAATATCTCTGATGAACATCTATGTGAAAATCCTCAACAAAATTCTGGCAAAACAAATCCAGCAGCACATCAAAAAGCGCATCCATCACAATCAAGTCGGCTTCATCCCTAGGATGCAAGGCTGGTTCAACATACAGAAATCAATAAACATAATCCATCACATAAACAGAACCAATGACAAAAACCACATGATTATCTCAATAGATGAAGAAAAGGCCTTCAATTAAATTCAACGTCCCTTCATGCTAAAAACTTTCAATATACTAGGTATTGATAGAATGTATCTCAAAATGATAAGAGCTATTTATGATAAACCCAAAGCCAATATCATACTGAATGAGCAAAACTGGAAGCATTCCCTTTGAAAACCAGCACAAGACGAAGATGTCATCTGTCAACACTCCTATTCAGCATAGTATTGAATGTTCTGGCCAGACAATCAAGCAAGAGAAAGAAATAAATGGTATTTGGATAGGAAGAGAGGAAGTCAAATTGTCTCCGTTTGCAGATGACATGATTATATATTTAGAAAACTCCATCGTGTCAGCCCAAAATCTCCTTAAGCTGATAAGCAACTTCACAAAATCTCCAGGATAAAAAAATCAATGTGCAAAAAACACAAGCATTCCTATACACCAATAATAGACAGAGAGCCAAATCATGAGTGAACTCCCATTCACAATTGCTACTAAGAGAATAAAATACCTATGAAGACAACTTACAAGTAATGTGAATGACCTCTTCAAGAAAAACTACAAACCACTGCTCAAGGAAATGAGCGAGGACACAAACAAATAGAAAAACATTCCATGCTCATACACAGGAATAATCAATATCATGAAAATGACCATACTGCCCAATGTGATTTATAGATTCAATGCTATCCCCATAAGCTACCATTGACTTTCTTCACAGAATTAGAAAAAAACTATTTTAAATTTCATATGAAACCACAAAAGAGCTTGTACAGCCAAGACAATCCTAAGCCAAAGGAACAAAGCTGGAGACATCACGCTACCTGACTTCAAACTATACTACAAGCGTACAGTAACCAAAACAGTATGGTACTGGTACAAAAATAGATATATAGACCAATGGAACAGAACAGAGGCCTCAGAAATAATGTCACACATCTACAACCATCTGATCTTTGACAAACCTGACAAAAACAAGCAATGGGTAAAGAATTCCCAATTTAATAAATGGTATTGGGAAAACTGACTAGCCATATGCAGAAAACTGAAACTGGACCCCTTCCTTACACCTTATACAAAAATTAACTCAAGATGGAGTAAAGAGTTAAAATTAAACATAAGGACCTACAACCATAAAAACCCTAGAAGAAAACCTAGACAATACCACTCAGGACATAGGCGTGGGCAGAGACCATGACTAAAACACCAAAAGCAATGGCAACAAAAGCCAAAATTGACAAATGGGATCTAATTAAACTAAAGAGTTTCTGCACAGCAAAAGAAACTATCATCAGAGTGAACAGGCAACCTATGGAATGGGAGAAAATTTTTGCAATCTATCCACCTGACAAAGGGCTAATGTCCAGAATCTACAAGGAACTTAAACAAATTTACAAGAGAAAAACAAACAACTCCATCAGAAAGTGGGTGAAGGATATGAAAAAGCACTTCTCAAAAGAAGACATTTATGAGGCCAACAAACATATGAAAAAAAGCTCATCATCACTCGTCATTAGAGAAACGCAAATCAAAACTACAATGAGATACCATCTCATGCCAGTGAGAATAGTAATCATTAAAAAGTCAGAAAACAACAGATGCTAGAGAAATAGGAATGCTTTTACACTGTTCTTGGGAGTGTAAATTAGTTCAACCATTGTGGAAGACAGTGTGGCAATTCCTCAAGGATCTAGAACTAGAAATACCATTTGACCCAGCCATCCCATTACTGAGTATATACCCAAAGCACTATAAATCATTCTACTATAAAGACATATGCACATGTATGTTTATGGCAGCACTGTTCACAATAGCAAAGACTTGGAACCAACCCAAATGCCCATCAGTGATAGACTGGATAAAGAAAATGTGGCACAGATACACCATGGAATACCATGCAATCACAAAAAGGATGATTTCATGTCCTTTGCAGGGACATGGATGAAGCTGGAAACCATCATTCTCAGCAAACTAACACAAGAACAGAAAACCAAACACCATATGTATGTTCTCACTCATAAGTGGGAGTTGAACAATGAGAACACATGGATTCAGGGAGGGGAACATCACACACCAGGGCCTGTTGGGGGGTGGGAGTTAGGGGAGGGATAGCGTTAATAGAAATACCGAATGTAGATGACAGGTTGATGGGTGCAGGGAACCACCATGGCATGTGTATACCTATTTAACAAACCTGCACATTCTGCACATATATCCCCGAGCTTAAAGTATAAGAAGAAGAAAAGAAAAGAAGCTAGTTGAATAAAATTACATAAATATATAAATTTCATAATTATATGTTTGCAAAAACTATTGCTCAAAAAAATAGACTAACAGCATTTTCTAAGGATTAACTTTAAAGGAATATTTGCTTCTGTTTCTCCTCACCCCCACCTTTATTTATCTTCTACATTAGGCAGGCTACTGGTAACCCAAGTTGGTCCTCTCCTACTGCAGTCTTAACTGCTAGCATGGCAAGGATTAGAGTAAATTCTTGTGGGAGATAGCTTTTTCGAAGAGGCAACTTCTTTCCTTTTATACTGCCATAAGGTAGGAAATTTTTTCTTCTATTTCACAGTAGGCCTGGGTCTCACCCCCTATGCACACACACATCAGAGCCTTCCACATGGACTTGTGTGCACAGGGATTGAATCCTCCCATTAGGTTCCCTGCACCCTGGATACCTGGACAAATTGTTGAGAATATATTTCTTGTTATGAATGGTTAGTCAAAATAAAACTGCAATTAAGCCAGATGAGTGAATGAATAAAACAAAAAAACAAAATAGTTGGTAATATTTCTCATAGAATTTTATTAGATATTTAAATATGCAGACACATTTTACTTTCAGGAGGTGTAAATTAATAAAGTCAGCCAGGTCACAATTAATGTTTTTTTTTCCAGTTACATAAATCACTCATTAAGTCATATCGCTTGAATCTTCATCATTGGAGTGATATAATTTATTTAAAACTAATTTGATTATATTCTGAATGTACAATAATTGTTTGAAAACACTTGGATAATATCTTTATTTATACCCCAAACCTTAAAATTTAATTAAACTTGATTATGTTAATTTACCTTTAAAATTATAAAATCATCAGTAAAATTTCATAAACCATCAACATTCATAGTAAATATTAATCTACATTTTGGGCTTTCTGTGACACTGTTGAGTTAAAAAATGTCCTACAACCCAAGCCAAAATATTAATTTTTTTCAAATTATTTAAAGAATCATTTTTAAAATGGGACAGATATTTTACATTTCAAAATGAAGCTTTTTAAAAAATTCTAGAATACAAGAAAATAGTATGACCAAATACATTCACATATAGACAGTGAATACTATAAGGGTAAGGAGATCAGAACTTTCAGCACATTTGTTTTACATTCTCTCTTTTTTTAATAATTTATTTTCAGAGAAGTTTTAGGTCCACAAGCAATATGAAAAGATAGGTTCAGAGATTCCATTTGCTCCCCATCCCCACACATACACAGCCTCTCCTAGTATTCACGTATCCTACCTGAGCGAGATGTTTGTTACAACTAATGAAACCTAGAATGAAACATCATAATCACCCAAAGTCCATAGCTCACATTAGAGTCCACTCTTGAGGTTATATATTCTCTGGGTTTAAAATGACATATATCCATCATTACAGTATCATAGAGAATAGTTTTACTACCTTAAAAATCCTGTTTTCTACCTATTTATCTCCCACCTCTATCCCCAGGCAATAACTGATCTTTTAAATATCTTCATAGTTTTGCCTTTTCCAGAATGTGATATAGTTAGAATCATACTGTATGTAGCTTTTTCAGATTGGCTTCTTTCACTTAGTAACATGCATTTAAGTTTCCTCCATATCTTTTTACAGCTTGATAGCATATTTATTTTTAACACTAAATAATATTCCATTTTCCAGATGTAGCACAGCTTATTTATTCATTCACCTACTGAAAGATATTTTGGTTGCTTTCAAGTTTTGGCAAGTATGCGTAAAGCTGCTTTAAACATTGGTATACAGGCTTTTGTGTGAACGTATGTTTTCGATACATTTTGGTAAATACCAAGGAGTGAAATTGTAGATTGTATGGTAAGATAATATCCTAGGTGAGATACTAATGTCATCATATTGGGGATTAGGTTTTGTCTTAGTCCATTTGTTCTGCTATAACAAAACACCAAAGCCTGGGTAATTTGTAAAGAAGAGAAATTTATTTTCTCATAGTTTTAGAGGCAAATAAGTCAAAGATGAAAGTGTTAGCAGGTTTGGTTGTCGGGAAAGGACTGCTCTCTGCTTCCAAATGGTGCTTTGAAGCTACATCCTCTGAAGGGGAGAACTGCTGGATCCTCATGTGGCAGGAGGTAGAAGGACAAGCAAGTAGAATACTATGTGAAGCCTCTTTTATAAGGGCCTTAATCCTATTCAAAAAGGAGGGGTCCTTATGGCCTAATCAGCTTTTAAAGGCCCTATTTCTCAATGCCATCACATTGGCCTTTTAGTTTCAAAACCTAAGTTTTGGAAGGGACACGTTCGAACCACAGCCGGTTTAGACATTTAAATTTGGAGGAGCACAAACGTTCAGACTATACCATGGTCCTTTTGTTTTCAAACCATATTTACAGTGTATGGTAATTATATAAAACTTATTTGAACATCAAAAATTGTCAGAGATTATTTTTCTAAACACTTGTACCACATCTAATCTTTCCCTCAGATTTTGAAACATTTTGTTAAACACACTGGAAGCCAATGATTAATGTATAAATATCCTCCATATTATTTGTTATCAACTAAAAAAATGTAGTCCTAAGAAATAGCAAAAGAAATTACAAAAGTGCCATTCAGAAGCTTTTTCAGAGTTCACCAATAGAAATCATTGTTTCTTTAACTTCTTAGTGCAATACATGTCATTTCCTGAAGTTTAAGAACTAATTATTTGCTATCAAGTATCCTTCCATTAGTTATTCCCAATCCCTTTTTTAAACGGAAAACAGGTTTATATTTTAAGAAAAACATGATGTTAAATGTGTCTAAATCATCTACGTATAAGGATGGAATAAGAGGTCATAAGCAAAGTATTTTGATAAACCCTTCAATCTATAATAGAAATGGATTAACATTAAACATAATGACAAAATGCCACCTCTTCTGAGCTTACAATGGTTAAAAAAATAAAACAGGAAAAATCTTTTTATAAAAGCATGAACACAGTTTTAAAAAACCTTCCCACTTTCGACTGCAGAAAACATAAATTATATACTTTGCAACCAGCTGTAATGGTAGGCATAGGCAGCTGGTCCAATTTACTGTATAGTACTATTGTACATATTGTTTGATGGACAAATTACTTATAATTTCTAGAAGTGCATCTTTGCAGTTTGATATTTTTAAGCAGCACTCCAACTACTTGAAAAGTTGTAAACTTTTGGAGAGGCTAATTCTGAAAAGGCTTTGCCATTGCTGAGTGTGTTTTTCCACATCATAGTTTACAATAGCCTATTTTATATGTTCAAAAAGTAAACAGAAATGCATGATGTTTTCCACAGTTTCAGGAAATAACTTAGTGAAATTTTGATGATTTCTATGTTCTGATTCTTGAAATTAAATCTTTTACTATGTTCATTGCAAAAGTATATATATGCACCTCAAAAATCTGCCATCCCCACAAAGGAATACGAAGGAAAAGGAATTCAAATCATTGGAGACCATTGAATTGGGGTCAAATATATCGGAAAATAATTCATGAATTTGAGAGCAGAGTTATTAAAACTTTTTATCTTCTCAAGCCAAAGGGGGAAAAGCAAGCACCTAGATTAAAATCAAAAGTCACTTTACCAACTATGAAATTATAGGAGGATTCGAAATCACAAAAGCATACATTTTTTTGTGTGTCTGAATTTGTCTTTTTACATGTGTTAATGTGTAGAATCAAGGGGAATGAATGTTAAAAAATTCCTGTTCTCTCTTTTAGTCCATTGTCCCTGCCAGTCAGGTGCTGTAGAACTGTTTCTTATAACACCAGAGCAAATGTGTTTATTATTTATTTTTTTTCCTGACTTCTCTCCTTCTTTAGTAAGCCTACACACTGCTGCTGCCACAATGTAGTACCCAGACTTACTTGCTCTTGAAGATGTGTGTTCCACTGCTGACATCCTGCTCCTCTGGCTGAATCCCTTCTGCAATGGTAGTCACAGATGCTCTGTCAAAAGTGGAATTGTAAAACTACTATAAATGGATATTAAGTGGACTCTAAATGATTATCAGTGTTTTTTCTCTAAATGTTTCCCTTCGTTTTTAGGGTTTACTGTTTTTCTTGAAAATCTGGATATGCTTAAATGAGGATTAACTCATTACACCTGTAGGTCACCTTCACTGACTCTGGCCTTGTGTTTTGAGCATTTTGTCTTAATCTCAAAGTATATTTTCTGCATTCATGATGCATGTTTCTTAAGCACTGACACTAGCTTTATCTTTACTCCTTTGTAGGAAGCTCCAAACAACACTGCACAGAATACATCTATAGAACCATAAGTCTACATAGCAGCATCCATGGTCTATAGATACTGTGAATGATTTCACTTTTTATATAAGGTTTAAAAGTATTTTACATACTACTTCACAACTTGTAGACTGCTATCTCTGGTATAAACATTTTTCTGAGCCCCAGATCCATATGTTGTGTTGTCTACATGGCTTCCCAATTTGGGTGCACAATGATATCTCAATCTCAATGGAACCCATAATCTGCTTCCCATTTCCCAGATCATTTTTATTTCTAACTTTCACATATAAGGGAACACAACTACCAAACATGCAGTTTTCTAATTAAAGAAAAGAAAATAGACATCACTTTGTATTATTAATAATTTGCTATGATTACAGTAACAAAGTGCCACAGATTGGGTGGTTTAAACAACAGAAGTTTATTTTCTCACAGTTCTGGAGATAAGAAGTCAAAGATCAAAATATTCACTTGGTTAGTTTCATCTGAGGTCTCTTTCCTTGGCTCATACCTGGCTGTCTTCTTCCTGTGTCTTCATATTGTCTTCTATTTATACCTGTCTGTATCCAAATTTCCTCTTCATATAAGGGTACCAGTCGTTTGGGATTAGGGACTCCATTAATGATCACATTTTACTTTAATTACCTTATGAAAGACCTGTCTCCAAATACAGTCCTGTTCTGAGTTACTGGGTGCAAAGGCTTCAGTATGTAAGTTTCGGGGGAACAGAATTCAGCCTCTAATATACCTTTAATCTGTCATCCTCACTCTCCTATCTACAATCATCACGCCTTGTTGGTGCTACCTATTACATATATCTCTAATATGTCTACTTTTCTCCATTATACTCCACTGACTTAGTCCATGACAGCAACAGGTTTTCACTTAAACGTTTGCAAAGACTACTAGTCTCACCCTCTGAAACTTACAACTGATTATACGATAAGAGTGACTGTAGAAAGTAGTATCCATAGTTCTGCTGAGTTGTAAGAAAGAGAGGAGCTGCCAGGTTTCACAGGAGCCCAGTAAATAACAAGCCAAAATTGAAAGCTAAGCCTTTAACCACTTATACCAAGGTATAAACAAGAGTCTAAACTGAAGAAAGCACCAAACTAGCCTGTCCCATTTTCTACTATGGAATGGTGTCCCATTTTCTACTATGGAATGGAATAGTTAGGTGGGTCAGTACATGCGGGAGGAGTCTTAGTTGTTGAGGGAGCCCTGAACAAATGGACTTTGTAATCAGGTGGGTGGGGAAGGTGGTTGGAGGATGAGGAGGAAGGTCTAGAAGTGACAAAGTACTGGATACTGAGTCAGAGTGAAGAAAAGTTTCCCCCCTTCTCCCCTGTTTATCATCATAAGGAGGCTTGAAAAAGACTTCTATCCATGGCCTCAGGTACAGAGATTAGGAATACACATAACTGTGGTAGAAATGCAAACACACTTAAGAGCAAGATTGGCCAGGGGACTCTGAATCTTTAACTGCAATACATTGGCTGCACACAAACACTGGTTTATGTGTCAGGGATGAGCGGCAGCTTTCTCCAGTGAGAACTGCCAGGTAAATCTTTTGTAATTGCCTAGGGTAGGCCCGAAAAATCACACAAAAGATTTTAACCAGGAACCGAACGCCTTGAGTAGTACAGTCAGGAGATTTAAGTTACAGACATTGGGATTAGACTTCATATGTTCAAATCCTGACTCTGATACTTGTAAATTTTGTGACCTTGGGAAAGTATTTTAAACTTTCTGTATTTTACTTCTCCCAATTAAATTTGATATAGAAATACTATGTATATTTTAGGGATTTCTGTGTGTCTTAAATAAATTGATAAATGTAAAACTTTTAGAACATTACCAGGCACATAGTTGATCAATACATATTAACAATCATTGTTATACTCATTATTATTATGAAGATATTTCAAGGGAAACACAACTAAAAATGTAATTTAAAATTAATTTAATCACCTTATTTCAGTTTTAGAAATAAAACTATATTTCCATAGGCAGATTAGAAGAATAACAAAAGAATATATGGTCATAATGTAGTGCAAATTATCCTTAAGTCATTACTAAGATGAAGTAACTTAGGTAAATATTTCTATATGTAAAAATGGAGTCCCTGTAAGAATATTATATACTAAACAGTAAATTGACATAAGTAGGCATATTTTCCTGCCTCAGAAATGAAATATGTCCAGGTCTTATCTTTTCTCTAAAAAAATCCAGAGGGTCATTTATCACTATTCTTGTGCCTTGAATCAAAATATATTAGTATGCTGAATGCAATCCTAGAATTACCTTAACAAACACACTTCCTATCTCTGAGTTAAAATGTTCTGGACAATAAATGAGAAAGCAATATAATGCTCTTTATTCATAGGAGCAAGATCAGTTCAATACTTGGTTGTATTACTGCATTGCCTGAGTTTTAATCATCTTTCCTTTATTATAAAGCTCTAGTTCTCTCAATGCTTTGTTGACTTTCCATGAGAGCAATTTCAAATATTTACTTTTAAAAATTCTGAGGAATAAATTTATTAATTTTACTATGTTAAAAATGAACAACTCAATAAATACATACAGTATAATAATAATATGCCCCCTTGAAATTTCTTAATTTCAGAAAAAAAATCAGAATGGTATCAATATCTCCAGTGTTGACCAATATTTATTTAATTAGAGCTATGAGAGAGCTAAGGTTGTTTCTAAATGCAGGGTAGTGGATCTGAAGAGAATTGTGGTAACCCTAAGGTTTGATACAACCCAGTAACCCTGCATGTTAAATGCTTATGCCAGTGGTAATGCCTCAGTTTTTTAAACCTAGAATCATTATAAAGACTCTCAATCATAAGTCTCTCTAATCCTTATATGGAACTATTTGAAGTTCTTTAATGGCAAACGTTAAAATACTTTGTTCTAGTCATAACTTGAACCAAGAGGAAGTTTAACCTTATTCCTAGAACTAAATTTCAAGAGCCAGCTACATTTCACTATTGATCAACTTCAAAATTAGGTGGCATAATCACTTTCATGAAGCATATTAGAGAATCTCACTCTGCCAGCATGAATGCCTTCTCTGTTGTCTATTATATATTATCACCATCACTTAAAAATTTCACCATCTTTATTCCACTTTTTCACTTGAAAATTTTTGTATGAAGACTCTTACGTTACACTGCTGCTTTGCCCGTGAATATGGTGCTCTCACTCAATTGCAAGCCTAAGCAGTGTGTCAAAAAACTTGGTTAAAAGCATAAGCAGATAGCGACAGACCAGAAGATAAAATATTGAATACTGAGACTTGATTTGTAATGAATCTATATCCCAGATGCCAAAATCATTTGGCTACCCATAGTTTAAGAGATCCAAGAGAACACTTCAAAGAAATAGATACAAGGGACGACGAGTCTTTGAACTAAGAGGTTCTTTCAGGAATGGAAACACAAATTGCCAAAAAACCACAGATGTTCACCACGTGAACAGGTGAAAAAATACTACTCTTTCAAATATATTTATCAAAGTCTTTTCTGCCTTCCTGTAATTTCATTTTAAATGGGCCTTCCTTTTCAGCTGTTCTCTACTTAAACTACCTAATAAGTAAGGACAGATTGTATGACTACATTAACAATGGTGAGCCAGAAACTCAAGGCCTTTTCTGGGCCTCTTTTCTTTGCATGTGTAATTTTCTAATTGCTGTTCTCTAAAGCAAGAACTGCAATTAGAAAAAATGTTATCTGAGGACAAGAACTAAACTGAACATTATTTGGCACTTCAAATTGTTTTCTAGCATTGAATTATTGTAATGGAAATTCTACTTAAAAACTTGGTTTGTCATAATCACCTGCAATTGAGCTTATGGTTTATTTACATATATGGATTTCCTTGCTATAATTATCATCAGATGACAGGCATATTCATTAGTATCCATACAAAGTTCATTGGAAATGTCCTTAATAGCAATTAGTGCAAGAATGGAGATCAGTAAAATATATTTTTTGATGTATTCATTTATTAGTACCATTGTACACATATTAAGATGGGCTGTAGTAGATTAAAGATGACCACACATTATTTGCTACTTCTCCCAAGAGGTGAAGTCTAATTCCCTTCTCCTTGAATCTGGGCTGGATTCAGTAACTTATTTGGGTAATAGAAAATTCCAAGAATGTTTTGGGACTTCTTAGGCTAAGTCCTAAGCCTTGGTACTTTCTTTCAGGCCTCTTAGAACACTTGCATATTGAAATAAACTGCCAATTTGTGAGGAAGCACACAAAAGCTCATAAAGAGGAACTGAGGCACCCAGCTGACACACTAACAGAGCTCCCAGATGACAATCAACACCAACCTGCCAACTATGTGAGTGAGCCATCTTGAAAGTGAAGCTTTCATACTTCATCAATCAGCTGATGCTACATAAAGATAAAAAAGCCATTCCTATCAAACCCTGCACAAATTGAAGATTTGTGAGCAAAATTAATGATTGTTTTCATTAAGATGCTTAATTTTGAGATTATTAGTAATGTAACAATAGATAATTAGAACAAGGACTATGGCTTAGATTATTTAAGGAAGAACAGGAAAGGGGTTTTTCT
Source organism: Homo sapiens (assembly GCF_000001405.40). Taxonomy (NCBI): domain Eukaryota; kingdom Metazoa; phylum Chordata; class Mammalia; order Primates; family Hominidae; genus Homo; species Homo sapiens. The sequence continues at coordinate 94,252,345 of NC_000006.12, forward strand.
TTAACTTGTTTTAGTTTTATTGTTATTGTCTTTGTGTTTGTTCTCTTTATTTATCCAAGTGTTTGTGTACCAACTGAAACACATGTGTGAGGAACACCCCTATAGTTTCCTAACAGAAGTTTTTTTTTTTTTTAATAGAACTTCCTTTATCCAGGTAATTCTCAGTATTTGGGAACTAGGAACATATATTAATGTAGTCAAATCAGCATCGCTCTACATAGGCTAGAAAATAAAAGTGAAATGAGGAATGTGATGATAAAGGAACACCATTGATATACAGTGAGAGAACCCTAATTCCCCTCAGCCGTTCCTCCCTGCCTCAGTAGCTGACAGTATCACCCAGTCTGTTGTCCAGAAACAAAAGATAGGAGTCGTGTTTGTTTCCTCTATATCCCTCAGATTTTGATATTCAGTTCACCTTGGATAATACCTACATTATCTCTTATTACTTGTCTACTTTTCTTCGTCTGCATTTCGGCCTCCATGATATAAGTCAAGATCCTTTCTTACCTATGTGATCACAATAATGAAATTCTCTTTTTCTTCAATACAATCCATTCTCAAATAAGAGGCTAGAATGATCTTTTTAAAAAGAAACTTTCCAGACCTAAGCAAGATCTGATCTCCAACTACTTTGTCTGGGTATCTAGGTTTTGGCCACATTATCTTCTTTTTGTCACTCTGACGCTACAAATATAGTCTACCTTTTCTTCCCCAGAGCTTTTTCTACTGCAGAGACTCTCCTTTAGGTCCTGAATAGTTTAATCTGGATCTCCAAGTAGCATGTTCGTTTAGTTTCTCAGATCTAAGGTCTCAATCTGAGTATTTCCCTCCTTCAATCTCATTCAATGTTAGTTTCTTCATAAAACTAAACACTCTCTGAGATTACTTTGCTGATTTATTTATTTGTTATTTATTGAACATCCCCTCACCTCAGCCAGCACACAAGAACAGATAAAATATTTTTCATTGCTGTCCCAGAGCTGTGAAATGTCTTGTTTCATGGTAGGTTCTGAATAAATATTTGTTATATATGCAAATAAATAATTCTTATATTTGTTTCTAATAATGTGTTTCTCAAAGACTTTGAACCATGTAATAGGCATAATGCCATAAATTCTCATTCAAATTCTTCAGAAAGGTAATTATAAGAAATCTTTACTTATTTTTTACAGATAGTGCAGATACACTAAGTGATATTTCATGAAGTGCATTCGAGGCAAAGGCAAGGGCAAAAAAAAAAAAAAGAAAAATGAGCCAGCCCTTACACTTTATTCTAATAATTTTAAAATTCTATTAGAAGTTATACTCATTCTCATTTTCTGTTGTTATTTTTCTTCTCCACTCAAATGAATTCATTCAAATGTTTGAAAAGTTTCAAATGGTTTTTGAAAAAGTGCCTCAGTAATAGTAAACATGGATAAACACTATAACCAAGAAGAAGATAAAAAGAAATTCTACAGATGAGAAACAATGTCAGTCTTTTCTTATAGCAGCCATATGGATTTGGGAGGTGAAATAATTTTGAAATTATTAAAAACTTTTAAATATTGATAAATCTGTTTCACAAAGCAACACATGATGTTCGTCCAATTCTCTTTACTTAATGCAGGTAAGAAATTGTGTAACATTAAACAAAATATTTTAGAAATTAAAATATCAAATTTGATTCATGATGCAATGAAAGATTATACTCTTAAAAGCAGTGGTGAGTTTCAGTGCGAAATCTCGAAGTCACTCATTAATACAGGTTTTCTACTAATGTGTAACTTTATACTAAATATTACTTTTTTAAATTTTCAATACTCTTTGGAGGGTGTTAACTGAGTTTATTTGTGTCCAAACACTTTCTTTTACTCTTCTGATCAGAAGTATCTCTGTTAGCAATATATATTTATCTTTTTTATATAATTCTGAAGTAGAGAATCTGTTAAATGAATGTTCTCACCATCTGGCATCCTTTAAATTTGCAGCAGTAAAATTAGGAATTGACCAAATTTATAAAGATTTAATAAGCCTGCACACTACTTTATCTCTCTAAAAAGCATGAATAAATACAGCAAGGAACTGTATCATTTTTTTGAGGAAACAATTTCAGTAGGACTTTATACCTACTGCTGAAATAATTTAGTTACTGATAGAAAATTACTTCAGTAAATGTGTTCATTGAATCTCCTGTCTGTAGATGAAATCATAAAATGATTTATTAAATAAATCAGTATGTTATGTATCTGAAAATGAATATTTAAAAATAAGATCAAAACAAAATCAAAGCTATAGCCAATACTTGTAAGCACTATGTGCCACGCACTACTAAATTCTTCTCATTAGTTAATTTTAGTAATTAGCTTCATTAATTTACTCCACTTAATGTCCTGGCAAGGTATAAACTATTTTTATACCCAGAGAGTAGTGCTTAGAGATATTAAATAAGTTTATCTCCCCAAGCCATATAGCTGGTAAATTTTGAAATTAGCATTCGGACCAAGGCAGTCAGGCTCTTTGGAGCACAAGGTCCTGACTATTATGCTGTACTGCCTCCCAATGGAAGTTCTAGGTTTCCAGCACATATGGATTTATCCATTATAGCATATTAGAAGATCATGATCTTTGGAATTAGGCATAAGTTCTCAAATAGCAGTTCTGCTGTTAACTAGTTTTCATAATTTTGAAGGTCTCTAATCTTTCTGAGCTTTGTTTTTTGGTCTGTAGTAAAAAAAAAAAAAAAAAAAAAAAAAAACAACTTTCCCTCCTCTCAAGCATTATCATGAGAATGAAAGATTTTTACATAATAAGAAGTGTCCAGCACTGTATTTGACAGAAGCCTGGTGATTAATAAATGTTAATTTTTATTCCTTACTTCTTAATTTGACAAAGAATACATATAGAAGTCAGAGTGTGTGCCATAGTAATCATATGTAATTTTAAGGACTAGAAAAGTCAATAAATGTCATCTGTTAAACAGGCCTGACTTCCTAAAAAATCTGAATGTTCCTTTGACTGAGAGTAAGAAACTATCACCAACAACAGGAAGGTACCCAAGCTTGTCTCATAGGTTTTACTCTGACATATCCTTCACAGAGAGGTGAAACATGTTTAATCTATATTTAGAAGTAACTTCCAGGTTATAAGTTCTAACTGATAGCAGTTCTGGGTTTGTGTCAGTGGCAGCTTTTCAGAACATAAGGAGAAAACCATGGAGCAGACCTGCATGGCATTAAGAAATAATCAGCCTACTGAAAATGGCTATGCAGCTTTTACTCAGCAGAAGAACACTGCATGTATGGGGTGAGTGGGGACTGAAAATTAACCCATATTTCATGTGCTAAAGCCTCCAATTATGCTCTGGAAATAGACAACCATCACATGAAAAGGAAGATCGGTGAATGCTCTAATACATCCTCATCATCCCTTACATGCACAAAAATCACTAGGTAGTCAGGCACTCAGGAATTCAGAACCATGTGTGTTTTTGCACTTAGCCCTAGTTGTACAAATATGTGTTTTAGTTAAAATTATTTTTGGTGTGATACACTAATAATTAATACTTAATATGGAAAATTACTCAGAGATAGCTAAATTACTCAGAGATAGCTATAATTATGGTGAAGTTATTTTCAATATGGTATTTGCATATATGCATAAACATTATTCTCCCCAAAATAAGTTTTATCTTATCTATTCCATCTTATAAATTATTGGGTCAATTAATATGTATTTTTCTTGATTTTTCCGGTGCTATAAAATGTTATTTTCAACATGTTTTTAATGTTTGATAAGCACGCACCCATATTGTTATATCATAATTTATTGTTATGGTTTATCATTGAATTTTTTTCTTACATGTTGATAAAAAGCAGAATTTGGGTTAAGAATATGGTCATTTTAAGTTTTCTTTATTTGTCTGATTTAAATAAATAGCCAAATTGCACTTTACAATTGCTGTACTCTTTTACAAAGTCAACAGAAATCTATCAGAAAGTCATTCCACCACAGTCTCATAAAACCTTGATATGGTATTCTTTTGTGTCTTCAAAAATCGACAAATGTTGTCTTATTATAATATTAATTCTATACTATTATATTAATTTTTCTTCAGAAGAAATCATTTGCTTATCTTTATTTGCAAATTATCGAGTCATGTATTTCCTTCTATTGGGATGTTCATCTTCTTAAAAAGTTTGGAAAGCACTCTTAATCTGTTTTGGGGAAAACATTGAAATAAATAACGGAATGAAAGAACAAAAACAATAAAAATCTTAGCTAGAGCGAGAAGTATTTTTATGAGTTAAACCATCTGTATCTCTGCAACTCAGACGATCATATAGAACATTTCCAGCACCCCACAAGCCACACTTTCTCATCTTTCATTCACTTGTGTCACCAAAAGTAATCACTATTTTGACTTCTACCACCACAGAAAGATTTTGCAAATTTAAAAATTTTAGATAAGATAAATCATAGTGTTTGGCTTCTTTGCTCCATATTTTCTATGCAATTGATCTAAGAATTTGCTAGAAGTAATAATTCATTTTTAAAATTACTATGTATAGAAGGATTATTTTACTACTCTTAATTACTTTATTTTATTTTATGAACTGACTATAATATATATTCTACTCTTTATAGACATTTCTATTTATTCCATTTATTATACAAATGTTTTTATACTTTACATTTTCTCTAGGTGTTATAACTTCAGTGTTATATTTTAAAAGTTGTTTATTATATGTTGAAATAGATTTTCGTTTTCATGTAACCAAAGTATTGATTTTTATATCTTAATTTCACAAAAAGACAAGTTATTGTCTTCTTTTTTATTTCTAACAGTTTTTCAGTCATTATTCTGGATTTTCAAACATGATATATATTTCTTGAGAACAATTTTGACTTCGTCTTACTAAATTTCTACATTTTTCTCTAGTATCATTTTCGTGACTTGAAACATTTACTATTGCTTTAACTTAAATAAGAATTTTTCTGGCATTAATTTGCTATGCATGATGATCATGTTGGATTTGAAATATAGTCATTTTTTCAAAGAAAGGTACACACCTATTGTTTGAGTTATTAATTTAAAAATCTGGAATGAATAGTTTATTACAAGATTTTTCAGCTTTGTGAAAGTGTTATTATAGTTTTTACAGATGGATAAATAAATCCGATAGTTTCTAATATTATATCATACTTACATTTCTAGAATGATCCCTATTTGCTCTAAATGAATTAATGCTATGCAGCTATATTACATCTGCAATACTTGTATTTAGCATTTTATATTGTCATTCAAAAGCAAAATTGGTCTTGTTTCACCTCCATTCTTAAAATTTTTTGGCCTTAAATTTTGGAGACTCAGAATAATGAATGTAAGATATTTCCTCCTTCTTCAGGCTTTAGAATTTCTAACCCTCATTATGTGGTTATCTGTTTTGACAATTTAGTAAAATTTATTCGCCAAACTGCTTGCCATTTATGCTCACAGGAAGAAAAGAACCCTCACATAATGTTCTATTCTTTCCATGATCACAGGCCAATTTTTTTCTGGCTCTCCTATAGAAAATTATAGACATATATATTTTCTCAGAATATTGTTTTTTTCAACCAAGATTTTCAAATTTATTTGAGCATTATTTAACAAATTCCAACGTCCCTTTATTCTGTTGACTTTGTCATTTTTATTTTTCTGTTATTTATTAATACAAGATTTCCAGCTGTATGGAAATGTTACCATAATTTCTTACAGGTGGATAAATCAATCTAGATATATAGATAATTTATAATTTTGTATCATGCTTACATTTCTAGAATGATCCCTACTTGGGATTTTCAAATTTATTTGAACGTTATTTAACAAATTTCAATATGCTTTTATTCTGATTACTTAGTCATTTTTATTTTTAATTGTATGCTTTTATAATTACTTATCTTTTTCTTTATTAATTTTGTTATATATTTAATATTCTATTATTTGTATGTATTACATATTTTTTGTTAATTTACTTCTGTTTTCATTTTTATTAATTTTTTATCTTTCCTTACATTTATTTTGGCCATCTCCATCATTTTTAGTTGAATGTCTAAGTCATTTTTTTAAATATATATAAATGAAAGTGTTATGAGCATAAATTTTCTTTTAACTTCCTCAATTATGAAAACACTATGTTGTCATTATATATTTTTCCAGTTAATATGCAAATTTAGGTATTGATTTTCACTCTGCCAACATGAATTTTTAAAAAGAGAAATCTACATCTTTGGAGTTTTTTGTGGTAAATTCAAGGTTATTGAAATGTTTATTAATATTTTTATTAACTGGTAACCTCACTATATTATGGCCAGAAAACATGGTGTATATTATACTATTTCTAGTCTTACAGACTTTCTTAAAGTATGAAGAATAGTCATGGTCTCTTTTCACGTTTCACGGTTTACATTATTAATCAGTATTCTACAAAGAAACAAAACAAATAGGGTATAGGTATAGATATAGATATAGAGAAAGAGACTTATTATATGGAAATGGCTCTTGGAATTCTGGAGGCTGAGAAGTCCCAAGATCTGCAGTTAGCATGCTGGAGACCCAACAGTGCTGATGGGGTAGTTTCAGTTAGAATCTGAAGGCCTGGCAACCAGGGGAGTTTGTGTAAATGCCAGTCTTAGGGCAGGAAAACACTGAGGTCCAGCTCAAGCAATCAGGCAGGAGATGTTTCCTCTTGCTCAGCCTTTTTCTTCTCTTTGGATTGCAATTAATTTGATCAAATCCATGCATTAGGGAGAGCAATCTGCTTTACAGTGCTTACCGATTCAAATGTTAATCTAATCCTAAATTAACCTCAAAGCTACATCCAGAATAATGTTTGACCAAATATCTGGGCATCCTGTAGCCCAATCAATTTGACATGTAAAATTTAACCATTATAATGGGCATAGGAAATGAAAGTGCATTATTGATGTTCAGGACATAAAATGCATTTAAATGTATGTGTGTGTTTAAGGGTGTGAAAAGAGGGAGAGAGAGAGATAAAAAGAATTGTATCTTTATTAGTGTACAGTATTCTAAATGTTATTAATGTCTCCAATATATTTACTCATTTGTGTCTACATAATCAGGAATAGATAGAATTTCAGTTTACTACAAATGTTTTGTTTAATCCTTTGTATTTAAGTTTTGTTTATTCCTTTTTATTTTTGAAAAGTTTGCTATATAAATTCTAGTCTCATACATAAAATTTTATGATTATTATTGTAGATTTTTACTGCTTATTATAAAACTTTGTTTCATTTTATGCTCTTATTAAATTTGACCTCATTTCTCATTAATAATAGCATTATTGATTTCTTTTGATTTGTACTTTACAAGTAGTTAGGTTTTTTCTTTTGCTTTAACTTCCAACTAGTCATATACATATACACAGACAAAGAGAGACACACACACACACACAAACACACAAACACACACACACACATGATAGAGTATATGGGTCTGGGTCTTCTTTTTTATCAAATAATAGAATATTCATTTTAAAAAATGAATTCCATATCATTAAATGTTTCATTAGTCTTACTGTTGTTTGCTTCCAGAGATTGATTGATTGATTGATTTCTCTTTATCTCGCTCTCTCTTTCTCCCCACTTCTTTCCTTTGAACTCTCTTTCTTTCTCTCTCTTTGTCTTCCTCTTTCTTTTTCTACTTTGGCCAGTAACTTCTAGGTTCCTATTCCTACTTTGATATGTGAACATTTGGTTTGATTAGTATAATTTCACTTTACAATCATTATTTGTGATTATTCCACACTTCATTGAAGATGAATATTTTTGTCATGGAATTCCCTTTTTATTGCTTTATTTATTTGTTTTTCCATAGGGTTAAATCTAAGAATTGGGATGGACATACTTTTACAGGTAATACTTTAAATGGAAATTACATTGCTCATTTTAATAAATTGTTGTAGTGAGGCTGTTATCTTGGTTCCACTCTCTTGTAGTGAGTGTAGACTGCAACTCTACTCATTAGGTGGCTATATCCAATGATTACTATGGAAACTAGGAAAAAAAAAAACAATGAAAACACAGCCTTTTAATTGTGAACTGATAAACACATATGTTAACTAACTAAATCATTAATATGATAGATATGCAAGAAGGGCAAATAAGGGCTATGGCATTCAGGAGAGACAACAAAAATCACAGATCATTTGTAATTAATGCCAATGATCTGTGTCTCTAATTCTATTGCCTATGGGTCAGTGTATGTAGAGCGATGGGTTTATTTCAAGAGACTGAATTCTAGTCCAAATTCTCCTGTTTGTTGGCTTTGTAATTTTGACTGAAATACTCCTTATGCCTTGGCTGCCTTATTTGTGAAATTGAATATTGATGACATTCTTATAAGTTTGTGTGGATAATTTTGGAAAATTTCATAAAATTTTATTCAAAACATTTTGGAATTATTATTTGAATTAATATAAACACAAGAAAACTGCTTGAAAGGAATAAAAGATAATATTCAGCATGAAAAGAAACTAAGCTTGTTTACTTTTAGTTAATAATACAGCAAAGGTTATAAAAATACCCATGATATATCATTCAAGTGGGTGTGTTACAGTACACAGTCCATAGTCACTCTTAACTTAGCATTTCATGACCTCATTCCCACCTACTAGTATGTTTTTTCAGTCCACCTGCTAAACTAATGTGCAAATTTGTTCTTGTTAATCAGTTTAATCAATCTATAGAGAAGATGAAAAATGTTTAATGATGATTAACTTTACTCCTCAGTAGATATTATCAAGGACATTATGCTCAGTATCATTATTTGTAAAATTCTTATTTTTAATGTATTATTAGTCCTCTTTCCTCCAGATGACAAAAACAAAACTGGGTGATTATTTAACAACCAAGTACCACCAGCTGGTGCTCCAGGCTGGTAGAAGTTACCATGTGTACAACTTCATCCTACCATAAATTCATATAAATGAGAATGCAAAAGGCAAATTAAATTCATAAATGCCTTTGGATATGAAGCATGGAGAAATATCAACATTTTAATGCTATAACCAACCATCAAGGAGATGGAGTGAGAAATGAAGGATATCAAGAAAAATTGATAAACATTAATTACTTTAGCTAACTGATATGACTTTCATGATGTGTCTCCTTAAAGTGCCAAGATGCCATGCTTAGAATTTAAATGCCAACAATGCATACTAATTGTTTAAAAAAAATTAGTCTAGTGATCAAGTTATAGGAACAATGAAAAAAATTACACAACAGAGATGAAGCAATGTTCATTAAAAAGCTTATTTTGTTCATTTACATTTTACTTTATGGCTATATCTGTGTTTTATTGCTTATCTTAGGACAATTCTACTTTATATGGACCAGTGAGTAATTTTTGTTCTTTCATTAATTCTAAAATGAGGTCTCTATTATTAACTCATAAACTACTCCATTTACTCACTTCTCTTCAGGTCCTCAGTGTAAAGTTTGGTTAAGTCTAGGTTTGGCATTTTAAATCATTAAGGGCTTCACTTATAGAATGAAAAAATCCTATAATATAAAACAATAATGTAATAAAATATGGTTAAATAAGTTTTAATTTTGGAAAACAATAAAAGCAGACTCTTTATCTGCAATATATTTTACTGAATCTGACGAAAAAGACAGTTAATTTGGGTATAGATGCCTACCCTTTGCTGGGAAGATTAAATGAAGTAAAGTCTGAGACAAGTGTCATGTCTTGTTAATAAAATAGAGGTTAATCTTCTTACTTTTTGGTTTCTCTACTTCTCCTTCCTCCAGTAAACTTGATATGTACTCTTAGCTCTGACTTAAAGAACTGATCACTACTATGATTCTCTCTTTTGGATTCATGTTACCTCTGTACTACTCTGAGCAGTAAGAAAAAGGAGATAGCCACTCTATGTGTGGCCGCTCTCATTCTCTCATTTTCCATCTTCTGCTTTGCTCCTCCAATCCGATGTAAATGTGGGTGACAATAGCCAAAGCATAAATAGGTATTCCCTTCATTCTTCATGCCCTTTGGAGTAAGGTCATACTCTCTTTGAGAGTTCTCTGACAGGTTTGTAGGCAAACATGCATAGGTTCAACACTCAGCTGGCCCCTTGCACATAACTTTATATTAAAATATTTTATTTTGATGGTAATAATTAGAAAGAAATAAGCAATATTCTATTATGGTGTGATAGCCTCTAACTGAGAGAGAAGGTGAGAGGGCAAAAGTTGATCTGGAATCGTGTCATAAAGGAACAGAAAACTGAAGGCTTCTATGGCCAGTTTGACCTCACAGATGCTCTGAGTGGTATGAAACACTGACTATCATGAATGAATAATTTAAATTTTCAGTGCTCTTTAGCAATTTAAATTATCATCTGAATATTTCAAGTGTGCAGAAACTTATTTCTAGAATACAAAATCATAAAGTAGATAATTTTATCTTGCTAAGTGAGATAAAATAGACAACTTTAAGACTTTTTTTAAACATTCACTTACACATTTTTGTTTGGAATTCAGGGCATCATATTTTCCTACATAAATAAGTTTATAAAGTCATATTATATTTCCAAGTAACCTCTAAGGGCCTTTTTTAGTGCTGTGTCATTTCATCGCTCATAAAACCTACAATCATGGCTGAAGGGGAAGCAAACATGTCCTTCTTCACATGGTGGCATCAAGGAGAAGTGAAGGTCTCCTGAGAACTCACTCACCATCATGAGAACAGCATGGAGGTAACTGCCCCCCATTATTCAATTACTTCCCACTGGATCCCTCCCACAACATGTGGAAATAATGGGAACTACAGTTCAAGATGAGATTTGGGTGGAGACACAGTTAAACCATATCATTCTACTCTTGGCCCCTCCCAAATCTCATGTCCTAACAATTCAAGACACAACCATGCCCTTCCAACAGTTCCCCAAACTCTTAACTCATTCCAGCATTAACCCAAAAGTCCAAGTGCAAAGTCTCATTTGAGACAAGGCAAGTACGTTTCACTTATGAGCCTGTAAAATCAAAAGCAATTTAGTTCCTGGATATAACGGGAGTATAGGAACTGGGTAAATAAACCCATTCCAAATGGGAGAAATTGGCCAAAACAAAAGATCTACCCCATGCAAGTCCAAAATCCAATAGTGCCATCATTAAACCTTAAAGTTCCAAAGTGATCTCCTTTGACTCCATGACCCACATCCAGGTCATGCTGATGCAAGAGGTTGGCTCGCATGGCCTTGGGTAGCTCTGCCCCTGTGGCTTTGCAGGGTTCAGCCCCACTTCTGCCTGATTTCATGAGCTGGCATGGAGTGTCTGTGGCTTTTCCAGGTGCACAATGCAAGCTGTCGGTAGATTTACCATTCTGGGGTCTGGAGGACAGTGGCCCTCTTCTCATAGCTCCACTAGGCAGTGCCCCAGTGGGGACTCTGTTTGGGGTCTCCAACCCCAAATTTCCCTTTTGCACTGCCCTAGTAGAGGTTCTCTATGAGGGCCCTGCCCCTGCAATAAACTTCTTCTTGGATATCCATGTGTTTTCACATATCCTCTAAAATCTAGGTGGAGGTCCACTGAAGTCACGGCCTTAGCTGTATTTTGGCCCCTTTTAGCCAAGGCTGGAGCAACTGGGACACAGGGCAACAAGTACGTAGGCTACATACAGCAAGGGCACCCTGGTCCCGGCCCATGAAACCATTTTTTTTTCTCTTAGGCCTCTGGGCCTGTGATGTGAGGGGCTGCCATGAATGTCTCTGACATGCCCTGGAGATGCTTTCCCCATTGTCTTGGTGATTAACATCATTTGGTTCCGCATTACTTAAGCAAATTTCTGCTGCTAGCTTAAATTTCTCCCCAGAAAACGGGTTTTTTTCTTTTCTACTGCATCTTCAGTCTGCAAATTTTCCAAACCTTTTTTTTTTTTTTTTTTTTTGAGACGGAGTCTTGCTCTGTCGCCCAGGCTGGAGTTCAGTGGCGCGATCTCGGCTCACTGCAAGCTCCGCCTCCCGGGTTCTCACCATTCTCCTGCCTCAGCCTCCCGAGTAGCTGAGACTACAGGCGCCCACCACCACGCCCGGCTAATTTTTTTTTTTTTTTTTGTATTTTTAGTAGAGATGGGGTTTCACCGTGTTAGCCAGGATGATCTCGATCTCCTGACCTCGTGATCCGCCCATCTCGGCTCCCCAAAGTGCTGGGATTACAGGCATGAGCCACTGCGCCCTGCCAAATTTTCCAAACTTTTGTGTTCTGTCACCTCTTGAACACTTTACTGCTTAGAAATTTCTTCTGCCAGATACCCTAAATCATCTCTCTCAAATTCAAAGTTCCATTGATCTCTAGGCATGGACAAAATTCCACCAGTCTCTTTGCTAAAGCATAACAAGAGTCACCTTTTTTCCAGTTCCCAACAAGTTTCTCATCTCCATCTGAGACCACCTCAGTTTGGACTTTATTGTCCATATCATTATCAGAATATTGGTCAAAGTCATTCAACAAATCTCTAGGAAGTTTCAAACTTTCCCACATCTCCCTGTCTTCTGAGCCCTCCAAATCTATAGGAAGTTCCAAACTTTTCCACATTTTCCTATCTTCTTTTGAGCCTTCCAAATGGTTCCAACCTCTGCCTTTTACTCAGTTCCAAAGTTACTTCTGCATTTTTGGATATCTTTACAGCAATGCCTCACTACCAGGTACCAATTTACTGCGTTTGTGCATTCCCACACTACTAATAAAGACATACCCAAAACTGGATAATTTAAAAAGGAAAGAGGTTTAATTGAGTCATAGTCCAGCATGGCTGGGGAGGTCTTGGGAAACTTACAATTATGGCAGAAGAGGAAGCAAACTTGTTCTTCTTCACATGGTGGAAGGAAAGAGAAGTGCAGAGTGAAGTGGGGGGAAAGCCCCTTATAAACCCAGCATATCTCATGAGAATTCACTCACTATTCCGAGAACAACATGGAGGTAACCAACCCCACGATTCAATTACTTCCCACTGGGTCTCTCCCAGGACATGCAGGGAATATGGGAACTACAGTTCCAGATGCGATTTGGGTGGAGATACAGCCAAACCATATCACCTCCTAAGTCAATACACATTTTCCTAAAACAGAGAATATATTGTAGCCTCAGCTGAAATGAGCCAAGATTAGAGGAGGTAATGATGGGTCTAAAGAATTAGACAGGTGTTAGATTATGGAGTGAAAAGAACATATTATGCAGTCAGAATGGCTATTATCAAAAAGTCAAAAAATAACAGATGCTGGCGAGGTTGCAGAGAAAAGGGAACACATACACTGTTGGTGGGAGTGTAAATTAATTCAACCATTTTTGAAAGCAGTATGGAGATTCTTCAAAGAACTAAAAGCAGAACTACCATTCGACTGAGCAATCCCATTACTGGGTATATACCCAGAGGAATACAAATCATTCTACCATAAAGACTCATGCACACAAATGTTCATTGCAGCACGATTCATAATAGCAAAGACATAGAAGCAAACTAAATACCCACCAATGACAGATTGGATAAAGAAAATGTGCTACATCTACACCATGAAATACTATACAGCCATAAAAAATAAGATCATGTCTTTTTGCAGGAACATGGATGCAACCGGAGGCCATTACCCTCAGCAAACTAATTCTGGAACAGAAGACCAAATACTCCAGATATTCTCATTTGATGAGAACTTATTAACACAAAGAAGGAAACAACAGACACTGGGGTCTACTTGAGGGTGAAGG